>NC_000003.12:119766180-120069210 GCF_000001405.40 Homo sapiens
GGAAGGAATGGGCAAAGAGATTAAAATGACAGAAGTTAGCTGTAGATGACCTATCCCACAGCAATCGGAGTTCTTGAAGAAGAAACCAGAACAAATAAAATAGAAACAATAATCAGAGTTTAATAATTAATTTTCTGAGTTTTTTTTTAAAAAAACTAATTATACAAACTTGAAAGGGTTCACCTTGCCCTAGCAAAACTAGGATTGGGACACCTTTTTTTCCCCCTGAGGATCACTGACAAAAAACACTGCACCAGTAAGGAAGCAACTAAATTTTGTTTTGTTCTTTGAAAAAGGCTAACCTGAGCTAGGTAAAGGTTATATCATTCACTTTTGAAATAAACCATCGAGAACACAAAATGACAAGTGAGTTAGGTTGGGCTGATGGGATAGAAGGTGGGAGGGGAATGCTATACAGCTGGGAACAGCAGACTTTCTCTGAAGGGCCAGATGGTAACTACATTAGGGTTTGCGGGTCTGATGGTCGCCATCATAACTGCATACTCAACTCTGCCGTTGTAGGGTAAGAGCAGCACTCGATGACACAGAAATGAATGCACATGACTGTGTTCCAGTAAAATTTTATTTTAATTAAAATCAATTCATGTTTGAAAAAGGATTTAAAGTAGCTTCTAATAAAGGACATGTGTAATGAAACTTAAAATATGATATTTTCTTTAAAAATCTTTATCCTTATGTAGACTTCTAAAACTATGTTTTGCATTTAGACAGTCAAGGAAAATACAAGTTGTTATACAATTCTCATTGACTAATTGAAGTTTACTAGGAGAGGAAAACTTTTTCTTGATACCGGCAATCTTTTACTTATAATGGCTTGAGTTAAAATGCTCCAACTTTTCTAATTTTTGCTTTTGAAAATAAAACACCTATAGTGACAATAAAAACACACATTTAAAGCCAAGTGGTCATAGTGACTGGAGCCATGTAGTGAATTGGGGCTAGACTAGTACGATCAATAGCGATACAAAATCACAATGAACTGTCTGAGGCAGAAAACTTTTTGTATGGATGCGTAATCAGATATAGTGAATCATTGTAAAGAGAGGCAGTGCTTTAGCTTGAGGCAAGGTAAAATCCAAAAGGAAAGTGTGCAGTGTGGGTAAAGGATCTCTTTAGGATGCGAAACTGTTAGCACAAAATTGTTGGGAATTCTAAGTTCCTGAAGTGCAGAACTCCCAGACAAATTATGTTAGAGCCTGATTGTTAGTTCAGGAGGAGCTTCCACTGCTAACTCCCATCCTCCTACTCAGTTCTAGGCCACTGGTACCCACTTGAGGGTAGAGTTGTATTTACAAATACTTGGAGTGATTTTATGCAACAAACTGCACAGAGGATTATAGACTCAGTTAATAGGGGAGTGGAGAATGCCAGCAAGCCCCTGAGTTAGAGTGAATGGCCTTCAACTGTGCTTACCAATTGTGGAACAAAAGCCAGCTAGAACCCTAGCAATATAGTAGGGTTATGGGATCTTTGGAGTGTTGCTTTTCTGGCTGGATACCTCCGTGGACAGTGGGGCCTTTGCCTGAGTTCTTGTCCTGTGTCCAGGAAGAATGAGGTATGCAGACAAGTGGAGGGTGAGCAAGATGAAGAGAAGCTTTATTGAGTGTTACAACAGCTCAGAGGAGACCCACAGTGGGTGGCTTCTCTTTGTAGGCAGGTCATCTGGTCGAGTGTTCAGCTCTCAGCAAAAAGGAGGCAATGGAGTGGGTGGCTCCTCTCTGCAGGCAGGTCATCAGGATGAGTATTCAGCTCTCAGCAGAGAAGGTAGCGCCTCTCTGCAACTGGTCATTCAGACATCTCCTCTGCTCTGGCTGAGTCCATGGTTTTTTGATCTTCAGAGAGGGGAAGTGCATGCTGATTGGTCCATGGGTAGCCATGGGCAGGCCCAGGAAAAAGGGATATAAGCTCCCCCTCCAGGCAGCAGGACTGGCAGCCCGGCGCCCAGGCTTCAGGCCTTCTTGGCATGAAGGTGGGACTTCACTGAGGCCCTGCCCCCTTCTGCCCAGGAGCTGTCTGCCTCCCCTGTCATTCATGGCACCCAGGCTCTTCCTGCAAAGGGGTGCCTGCAGGCCAGTGCTGAGCTGCCCTCAGCACCCCCTCAGCTTCCCTCCTGTGCTCTTCAGTGCCCAAAGACAGGAGGGGGCCAAGGCAGCAGGGGGCTGGCATGTCAGCACTGCCCTGAACGTGCGCCCACCCTGCTGGCCTGTGACAGTGCCCTGGCTCGGCCCCAACCTTGCTCCACAATCAGAACATGCACCAGGAGTGGGGAGAAGCCAGGCAGCAGGAGCAGGCACTTGCAAGCCTGTTAGGGTAGGGGGACATTCCAGGGCCCCCAAGAGTTCAGGGATGCCTGAGTCTGCAGCCACAGTTTGGGCAGCTGCAGCTGTGCCCAGCAGCAGGCTCCTGCCTGCTCCCAGTCCCCCAAGAGCAAAGGGAGGCTCACATCTGCAGCCACGGTTGGGTGGCTGAAGCCCTGCTGGGAGGGCAAGGCTCCTGCCTGCTCTGTGGAGTGGGAGGCCAGGGTCTACAGCCATGGTTTGGGTGGCTGCAGTGGCACCGGGGGAGCTCCCACCCCAACTCAGAAGGGGCGGGGCTCCTGCTTGTCCCTAGCTCCCACCAGCTCCATGGAGGGTGCAGCCTTGGCTGCACCTCCCTGCTGCAGCCAGTGTGATGGCAGTGGCAGACCGTCTGATGTGGCCACTGCCATCAGTAGCATGGAAGTTAAGAGAGCAGGCTCTGGACCCAGACTGTCCGGATTGAAATCACAGTCCAAGTTCAGTGTGTCAGACAGGTTATTTAATCCCTGGGTTATTTAAGCCTTAGCCTCCTCATGTGTAAAATGGTATAACCATAGGTTGTACCTCATGAGGTTGATGTCGGGATGTAATGAATCAATTTATATAAAAAGCTTAGCAGGCAACACACGGTAAATACCCAATAAGCACCAGTTAGCTAATTTTACTATCACAAAGGGATAAAGGACAAAAGAGAAATAGGTGGAGCATGTTTCCTGCTTATAAGGAAAACGACCACACCTACCACTGTATAGGCAGTGGCGCAGTGGATATCAGTCTCTAACCCATCAGATGAGTTTCTCGGTCTCATTTGGGGAACAATAAGAGACAGAGAGAATATGGATGTGCTATCATCTGCCCCTCCCCTAACCCCTCCAGCAAGAAAGGGATAGGAATGAGTACCTCATGTTCTGTAGAAACTTGAGGTGTTGAGAATAAGGGCTCCCTCCCTACCAGATATTAGTGCAGTAGAAGGAAGCCATAAGTATTGCGCAGAAGAACTTCCCAGAAAACTTAGCTGCAATCTTGAAGGAGGCACCTTTTATGATAGGTGGCACATGAGGAAACTGGAAGTGAGGACTACAGTGGTTCTTGGCTGTGGCTGCATGCGAAAACCACCTGAGTACTTTAAAAAAAAAGTGCTTCTTGGGTTTCACCTCGGGCCAATTAAGATAGAATCTTTAGAAGGGGAGCCCAAGCAAACGGATTTTTTTTTTAAAGTTTCCCAAGTGATTTAATGTACATTCCAAATTGAGAATAGATGACGTGTTTCCCAAGGAAATTGTCCCTCTCCAAGCATTTACCATTCAGACTTACTACAGAAGATATGTCTTCAGTCCAGGTTCTAATTATATTTTCTTTGTAAAGCATAAAGAATTTCAAAGAAAAAAAATGTGTGAGAAAACATTGATACTGGACATAGTCATAACACTTGGTACTTCCTCAATAACACACTTGATAGTAATTTCCTGCGTAATCGTCTCTCTCACTGGCGTGTGAGGGCAGGGCAGCAGCTGTACCTAGTGAGTTCATTTGTTTTCATTTGCAGTGCTTAGCCAGTCCAGTCTCTGGCACCTATCAATCCCTTAGTAGGTATTTATTGAATGAAATTCTACATACTTAATGTTTGTAAAAGTAAACATGTGTGTGGTTTTAGAGATCATTTATTATGTCTTGGCATATTACGGTATGAAATGAGTTTCAAGGACATAATTCTAATTTATAACATTCATTCCTTATAAACGTTTAACTTTTTGTGATTCAACTTGTGAATGTTATTATCAAGGAACCAAGTAAGTCATAAAGGAAGGGAGAGGCCTTCTGTATGACATCCTAAAAGGAATTTATCCCATTTATCCTTGTACAAAAGACATTCGACAGCTTAAGAAACCTCCAACAGAAGTTTCAGAGAAGAAGCAAAAATGTTCTTTTCACTGTTTCTTTTATTTTTAATAAAAATTAAAGATATTTTATTAAAACATATCTATAAAATCAGCTTTCAATTATGTCAGAATGAAGAGGTCAGCAATACTCCTCCACTAAAAAAAAAAACCATACAACTGGACAAAATTGACAAAAGCATCCAGGGAACTAGAAATCTACTAGAGATGGGCAGCAAGTTGAAAAGCTCCTAGAGATTCAAGGAGAAACAGCAGAAGGCTAATTCTTTCCCCCACCTCCCATCAAGCTCAATCAGCAAGAATCGTAGTTTTCCAGTTTGGAGTTGGCCAAAAACCCAGTGGCTCTTCTGCCAGAGGAGAAATACTTATAAAGTTTTAAATTTCAATATTTAGGGTCGAGAAGTGGCATGAAATTTTGTGACTTTGCATATACTAAAAGTAGCAAACTCAGAAATGAATAGGGAAAGGCCACAGCTTTGTTAGCCCAAGGATGCAGTCCCAGTTGGGGTGAGCAGCAAACCAACCAGAGTGCTAATGGGGAGATCCTGGAAGGGTTGAGACAAGTTTTCCACATACCCCTGGCTGACTGAGAATACGAAAAAACTAACCCAGAAAAAGGAAAAAAAAGGAGAAACATAAGACTAAAATCAAGTTGGGACAAATAGAAAATAAATCACAAAATGATACACCTCAACTCAACTTTAACATGCATTAAATATTAGTGTATTAAACACTCCAAATAAAAGGCACAGGTGTCAAAATGGTTTTTTGTTTTGTTTTTTTTTTCTTAAAATTGTTTTGAAGAAAAGCAAAACCAAGCATATGATTTACAAGAGACACTTTTAAATATAAAAACAGTGATAATGAAAGTAAATAGGTGGAAAATGATACAACAGGAAAATATTTAGCATAAGAAAACTAGACTGGTTCTATTACTACAGCTGGCAAAAAAAAAATTTCAAAGCAGGCAGTATTACCAAAGATAAAGTAGGATATCTCATAAAAATAATAAATGAAAACCAAATAGTCTTATCCATTTATGCCCCTAATAACTGAGCTTCAAAATTCACAAAGCAAAACTAACAAAAAAAGAAGTAAACAAATCTCCAAAGTTGAAGACTTAACACCTTCTTTTCAATAGCATAGAACAATTAGACAAGAAATCAGTAAAGTTTAGAAGATTTTAACAAAACTACATACCTTTGCTTAACACTAATCAGAACACTATACCCAACCACAGCAGAATACATATTCTTTTCAAGTGTACATGGAACATTTATCAAGATAAGCCATATTTTGAGCCACAAAACATCTTTATATGTTTCAAACAATGGAAATCTTATAAAATATGTTATCTGACCACAGAAACAACTAACTTAGAAATCAGGAACAGATACATATTTTTAGAAAATCCCCAAACATTTGGAAGTTAAACAGTGTATCTCTAAATAACCTTTGGATCAAAGAAGAAATAACATGTGAACGATTGAGAAAATACAACTTCAAAATTTGTAGGATGTAGCAAAAGCAGTGCTTACAGAGAAATGGTAGCTATATGCACTCATGTTAGAAAAGAGGCTTAAAACCAGTTATCTAAGTTCCCACTTAAGGAAGATGCAGAAGAAAGGCAAAGTAAAACCAAAGTAAGTAGTAGGAGAGATGTTTTAAGATACACAAGAGCAGAAATTAATGAAACAGAAAGCTTAAAATGATAGAGAAAATTGACAAGAACAAAATTTTATTCTTTGAAGAGACTGGTCAAAAAGGAGAAATCACAAATTATCAACATCACGAACAAGAGGGGTATCACTATAGTGGAAGAGGGAATGTCACTATAGATCTTACAGGCATTAAAAGGATAATAAAGGAATTTTTGAAAACTTTATGACAATAAATATGATAGCTTAGATGAAATGGAAAAAGTCCTTGAAGCAGAATTTACCAAAAAATATACAATGATAAATAGAAAATCTATATAACCTTGTATCTATTAAGTAAATTGAATTTGTTATCAAAAACATTCCCATAAAGAAACATCCAGGCCCAGATGGTTTCAGTGGTGAATTCCATCAAACATTTAAGGAAGAGATAATGCCAATCTTATACAAACTCTTTCAGAAAATATAGAGGAAGCAGTTTGCATCACATTTTAAGAGACCAGTATAATCATATCATCTGACAGAGATAAGAAAATAAAGTTACAGGTCTATATCATGATTACAATTGCAGCATTGGTGGTATAGTGGTGAGCATAGCTGCTTTCAATGATTATGAATGCAAAAGTCGTTAATGAAATATGACCAAAACAAATCAGAATTCCAAAAAAGAGAGAGACAGAGTATTATTCTGGACAAAGCACATTTATTCCAAAGATGCAGGGTTAGTACAGCATTAGAAATATCAATGTAATTCAACATGTTAATAGAAAAAAGATAAAAAGCATATGATCTTAACTGAAAAATTAACACAATTCTACACTCATTCACGTTTAGAAATTCTCAAAAAACTAGGATAAAAAGGAACTTCCTCAACTTGACAAAAGCATCTATAAAGGTGACAGCTAGCATCATAGCTAATGGTGAAATATTGAATGTCCCCCACAAGGATATCTACCCCCACCACAATGCTATTTAATACTGTATTAATCGTTCCAACTAATGCAATAAGGAAAGAAAAAAAGCATAAAGATCAGAAAAGAAGAAAACAGTCTTTCTTTGCAGAAAACATAATTATTTACATTGAACATCCTCAGTAATACTAAGGAATAACTACTAGAACTATTTAATAAAGTCACAGTTATATCTCATCAATATAAATATATATACATACAAATATATTTTCTATATACTAGCAGCAAACAATTAGAACAGCGGTGTTTTTTTTTAAATTGACTTAGTATCCAAAAAACGTAAAACACTTAAGAATAAACTTAACAAAAGACATGGAAGGCCTCTGCACTAAAAACTACAAAACACTGCTGAGAAAAATAAATGATCTAAATTGAGAGTTATGCCATGTTCACATGTTGGAACACTCAATGTTGTTTTGTAGTCAGTTCTCCTCAAATCGATCTGGCAATTCAATGCAATCACAATCAATATACTAACAGGCATTTTAATAACTTTTCAAAGTTGATTCTAAAATTTATACGGTAAAGCAAAGAATACAGGAATAGCCAAAATGGCTGGGCACAGTGGCTCACACCTGTAATCCTAGCACTTTGTAGGGGTGGTGTGGGGGCTGAGGCAGGAGGATCACTTGAGGCCAGGAGTTTGATACCAATCTGGGCGACAAAGTGACACCCCATCTCTACAAAAACATTTTTTTTGAAATTATCTGGGCCTCGTAATGCACACCTAGCTACTCAGGAGGCTGAGGCAGGAGGATCACTTGAGCCCAGGAGTTTGAGGCTGCAGTGAGTCATGATCACACCACTGCACTCCAGACTGAGTAACAGAGTGAAAAAATGTCAGAAAGAAGGAAAGAAAGAGAGAGGGAGAGAGAGAAAGAAAGAAAGAAGGGAAAGAAAAGGAAAGAAGGAAAGAAAGAAAAGAAAGAAGGAAGGAAGGAAGGGCCAAAATAATCTTGATAAAGGGCAAAGTTGAAAGGCTCATGCTACCTACTTCAAGACTTGCTATAAAGCCTCAGTGATCAAGACAGTGTGATATTGGCATAAGGATAGATAAATAGACATATATTGCAGAATAGGGAATCCAGACATCATCTCATACATGTATGGTTAACATACGTTTTTTTTACTAAAGTTGCAGAGCTAAATAATGGGGAAAAGAGAGCCTTTACAACAAATAGTGCTGGAATAACAGAATAAATGAAAGAAGGAAAAATAGATCTTGACATCTACAACACACCAAACACAAAAATTAATTTGAGATGGGTTTCAGAATTAAGTTAAAAACTTAACAAATATCTAGAAAAAAAAAAAACAGAATGTCTTTATGACTTATCTACAGGACTCCAAAGACACTGGTCATTTAAAAATGACTTACAGATGCCTGCAGCTCATTCTGGGGAAAGGTCATTCATTGTTATGACCAATGTGGATACAAAGCCTAACACAAAAAGGTCTTGAACTTTTGGATTAGGTTGTTCTTGTATTGATCACTGTTCTCAAAAGGAAAGCCTCAACACAAGCTGTCTACCTATATCATCCCCTTGTACAAAGAAGGGAACTGAAACATAAAGAAGAAACAAGTCGTCCACTAGCATTGGTGACATCAGCAAAATTGTAGAATAGGCAGCTCCAAACTCCCGTCCCTCTACAGAAATACTGAAAAACAAGAAGCAACTGTCAGAGCCAACTTTGCTAGAACTCTGGAAAAGAGTCAGAAGTTTACAGCAATTAAGAAAGTGCTGAACCAAGAAAAAGCAACTTAAAAATGATAGGACATTTGCCAGTTTTTTAAATTGGGGGGAAAATGATAGGAAAACTTTGTGGCATTTTTACTTGTCCTTGCCACATCCCCTCTTTGTCTCAGCAGCAGTCTTAAAGACAGCATCCCGTGTTCCCAGTATGGGACCCTGAACCCTGGTTCTGGAGGGAGCAGAGCAGGCTTCAATTGCAAATTACTGGAGTTTGTTTGTCTGTTCTAACCTATTCGGGAGCTAACTGAAGAACTTATATGAGGTATGCATCTCGTTTTGCCTAACTGAGAACCCGTGAAGAGGGAGAAGTGACAATCATTGCTCAGAAACATTGTAAGGTGAATACAAAACCTGCAGCCACCTGGGGGCAAAAGATTAAGGTTCAGACATACAATAGAATGTCTGAGGTCTGGGAGCAAAAGCCAGGAAGAGAGTTCCTTTGGGAAATTAGGGCAATTCAAAACTGCCAGTGTGTATTCGGGAGTTTAGAAAGCAACATGCATGCCAGGACAGGACGCATGTTCAGAAAAGACCTGAGAAGACCCTAACCACTGGCTGATCTCTGGGCTCAGTACAAGTAGAAAGTAAAGGCTCATGGGAATATATATATATATATGTGTATATATATATGTGTGTGTGTATATATATATATATATATATTTTTTTTTTTTTTTTTTTTGAGACAGAGTCTCGCTCTGTCACCCAGGCTAGAGTACAGTGATGTGATCTCAGCTCACTACAACCTCTGCCTCTTGGGTTCAAATGATTCTCCTGCCTCAGCTTCCTGAGTAGCTGGGATTACAGGTGCCTGCCACCACACCTGGCTAATTTTTGTATTTTTAGTAGAGACAGGATTTTGCCATGCTGGCCAGGCTGGTCTCAAACTCCTGACCTCAGGTGATCCGCCTCCCTTGGCCTCCCAAAATGCTGGGATTACAGGTGTGAGCCACCATGCCCGGCCTCATGGGGAATTTTAAATGGCCTACCAAAGTGTTAATAGTGCCCCAAGACAGAGCCAATCCACAAAGACTAGAAGAGGAGGGGGTTTTACTTGTTTTGTTTTACTTAGCTCCTGGCAATCAAGGACAGCTCTATCAAAAACACTGGCTGAACACAAGCTAAGCCTTCAGCAATCAAGACAAGCAAACCGTAAGGAACTGGAAGAATCTGACTTCCAGAGTTAAAACACTGTAATATTTGAATGTTCAATTTTTAAAAATCACAAGGCATACAAAGAAACAGGAAAGGATAATGCATTCAAAGGAAAAAAAATAAACTGACAAAACTGTCCATGAGAAAGCTCAAACATTGAAATTATTAGGCAAAGACTTTAAAAACAACTGTCTTAAATGTATTCAAAAAACTAAAAGAAATCATGGAAACGAAGAAAGGAAACCAGGAAAATAATATATGAACAAAACGAGAATATCAATACAGAGATAGAAATTATAATGAGGAATCAAATAGAAATTATGAAGGTGAGAAGTATGATAACTGAAATGAGAAATTTCACTAGAGGAGTTCAACAGCAGGTTTGATCAGGCAGAAGAATGATTTAACAAACTTGAAGATAGGACAATTGAAATTATCCATTCTGAGAAGCAGAATGAAAGAGTGAAGAAAAGTGAACAAAGACTAAGATACCTGTGGAACACCATCAAGTGGACCAACATATGCATTATGAGAGTCTCAGAAGGACAAGGGAGAGAGAGAGACAGAAATTATATGTGAATGGCCAAAAGTGTCCCAAATGTGATAAAAGACATGAGTCTACATATCCAGGAAGCTCAACAAAGCCCAAGCAAAATAAACACGAAGAGATACACCAAGATACAGTATAGGCAGATTGTCAGAAGACAAAGAGAATCTTGAGAACAGTGAGAGAGAGGCAACTCATCCTGTACAAGGGAGCCTTAATAAGATTAACAGTTGATTTCGCATCAGAAACCATGGAGGCCTGAAAACAGGAGGCCTGATGCCACTTCACACCTACTAGGATGGATATAATTTTTTTTAATGGAAAATAACAAGGAGAGGATGTTGGAGAGGACATGAAGAAATTGGGACCCTTGTACATTGGTGGTGGGAGTGTAAAACGATGCCACTGCTGTGGTAAAGCTTGGTAGTTCCTCAAAAAGTTAAATGTGGAACTACCACATGACCCAATGTCTTAGTCCATGCAGGATACTACAACAAAAATACCATAAACTGGATAGTTTATAAACAACAAAAATTTATTTATCATAGTTATAGAGACCGAGAAGTCCAAGGTCAAGGTGCCAGCAGATTCAGTGACTGGTGAAGGGATCTATGATCCCTTCCTGGATCATAGATGACAGTCTTCTCACTATAACTTCAGGTGGAAGAACGGGCATCAATCATGAGGGCTCCACCTTCATGACCTAATCTCCTCCCAAATGCCCCACCTCCAAAACCATCACCTTGGGGGTTAGGATTTCAACATATGAATTTTGAGTGGACTCAAACACCTAGCAGTTCCACTACTAGGTATATATCCAAAAGAAATGAAGCAGAAGCTCAAACAAATATTTATATACCAATGTTTATGGCAGCATAATTCATAGTAGCCTAAAGATAAATGGATAAATTAAAGATGCTATATGCATACAATGGATTATTATTCAGCCATAAATAGGAATGATGTTCTGACCCATGTTACAACATGCATGAACATTATGCTCACTGAAATAAGCCAGACACATAAGGACAAATATTGTATGATTCCAATTACATAAAATACCTAGAATATGCAAATTCATGGAGATAGAAAGTAGATTAGAGGTTACCAGGGACTCAAGGAAGATAACAATGGGGAGTTGCTTAATGGATGGAGTTTCTATTTGGGATGATGAAGGGGTTCTGGATATGAATAGTGGTGATGGTTGCAAAACATTATAATTAATGCTACTGAATTGTACACTTAAAATGATTTAAATGGTTAATTTTATATTATATGTATTTTTTACCAGAATAAAAAATGTTGGCTGGGTGTGGTGGTTCATGCCTGTAATCCCAGCACTTTGAGAGGCCAAGGTGGGAAGATCGCTTGAATTCAGGAGTTCAAGACCAGCCTGGGCAACCTAGGGAAACCCGTCTCTACCAGAAAAAAATAGCTGGGCATGGTGACATGTGCCTGTAGGCCCAGCTACTCAGAAGGCTGAGGCAGGAGAATCGCTTCAGCCTGGAAGGTTGAGGCTGCAGTGAGCCATGATTGCCCCCACTGCACTCCAGCCTGGGCAACAGTACAAGATCCTATCTCAAAAAAAAAAAAAAAAAGTAAAGACTGATAAATTGTACCTTATAAAAATAAAATAAATACATAAAATGTGACTAGCAATTTTAAGACACTTAAATATTTGAATTAATTTATTGAATACCTGCTCTGGGAATTAGTGTTGTGTTTCCATTTACAGAGACAAAACAGGTCTAATTGATTGACTAAACAATAGATGTAAATGTGGTCAGTGTTTGGATGTCTATTCATAGAATAGGAACAATTTTTCTGAGAAATGATTTGACTCTCAGCTGTTTCCTGTATGACCTCTCAATTTACATTTTATTCAAGAGTTTCTAATATAATATTGTGGAGCAAAGAAACTTGACAGCAACAGCTGTTGAGAGAAGGTAACTGTCATATTAATATTTCTGGGAAGAGGTATTGCGGTGTTACCAGATTCCAGATTTGCACCTTTTCCCCTCAATCCCTTTATCCCTCTCAAACATTATAGTGATTTATGAAAATATATGTATAATTCCAAATAAGTTTTAGATAATTCCATATATACCAAATACCCAATTATCTCTTTGCTGTCAAAGGGTAATTTATCCTCATCATGACACTTGCCATCATTACAAGTTTAAAGCCTAAAAATGAAAAGAGGTTTCACACATTTAAGAGCTAACTCATTTAATAATAAATCAAAAGTAAGTATGAGTTTCATTTAGTAGTAGCATGAGCTAGCTGCAGGGAAGGTCCTCTCAAGGTGGTCCTTTTTCTTCTCTTCAATAAAGGCAGAACTCTATTAAAGCATATTAGTAAAAACCATATTTAAAAGAATTACTACACTGAACTGAGCAGCCACCAAATGCAATTGGTACCAGGTGATATAAGGGCTTCTCCTCTCAGGGGGCTTATAAGCAACTAAGGCAGGAAGTCACAGATACCATATTCTGCAGTGTAATTTACAAATGAGGTGAAAACAAAGTGTTCCAAAATTCTAAGAGAGACATTGGAATTCTGACCACAAGTGTAATTTATGGAGCCTCAGAGTAATTATAGGATCTGGAACAGCTGGTGCTCAAATTTAGTGGTCCTCCAGTTGCTGGAATCTGCGATTTCTGGGAAGTTAAACTTTGTGTCACTGCTTCTACTTGTGATAAAATGAAACCGCTTTCAAAGAGAAGATTCCTATTCCTAGCCTTTTTGGGTAACTTCTACTACCTCCACTTAAGGATGAAAAGGGAGAAGTTTCCTCCAAGACTGCCTCATGGGGATCAGAGTGTCACCTCCATGCTCCTGCCCTAAGTGCCCCTGAGCACACCCCAGAGGGAGGCTAAGAGATTTTTGAGAAAGACCATGTGACTGGCTGATAAACACCTATTTTCCTCAGATTCCACCTGAATTTATATCATCAGTGCATCACTCTTTTATTTTGTTCTCTCTGTTCCTCTTTTTAAATATTAATATTCTCTGGAGAGGGGTAAAACATTAAATGAATTCACACTGAGGAAACTGGCCAGGTACAATGGCTTATGCCTGTAATTTCAGCAATTTGGGAGGCCAAGGCAGACAGATTGCTTGAGCCCCAGAGTTTGAGACCAGCTTGGGCAACATAATGAGACCTCGTCTCTACAAAAGAAAAACAAAAAAAAAAATTAGCCAAGCATGGTGGCACACACCTGTAGTCTCAGGTATTTGGGATGCTGAGGTGGGAGGATTGCTTTAGCCCAGGAGGTTGAGGCTGCAGTGAGCCATGACCATGCCACTGCACTCCAGCCTGGGTGACACAGCAAAACACTGTCTCAAAAAAAAAAAAGAAACTCTTCAGGCTGATCAGATCTGCTTTTCTCTGATGAGTTTCTTAGGAGCTCTACATTTCTGGTTGCTGCAATAGGCAAAGTATAGAATGGAGGTCAAGGCCTCAAATTTCTCTGACTTCCCAGCTGGGCTTGAGAGTGACTCTGGCCCTCAACTGAGGGCATTAGTAAGCTGTCCTTAAGAACGAGAGTGTATTTTCTGGCTGTATTCTTAACTCATTTCACTATAGAGCCATGTCTGATATTAACAGTGCAGTGCTAGACTAGAGAGGCCTGGCACTCCTACAGCCTTCTCCTGTCTTCTAGCTGGGACTTCACACCACAGACCCAAAGGAAAAGAGACCCAAAGATCCCTGCAGAAACCTGAGAATATTTCCTTTACCTCAGTGGTTTCATAATCTGTTCTTAGTTTCCTGTTTCTGCTGTAAATAATTCACTATATTTTTAAGAGAGAGAAGGTCAGGCCCTTGTGAGCCAGAAGGGATTTGAGAGATGATGAAAGCTACGTATGTTACCCATAACCTAAGGACTTCTGGCAAGGTGGCCTACCTGAGCTGGAGTCATGCCTTTTTTCCCTGGACTTGGAGATACCTGTCAGTGCAGAAAGGCCTACTTTTGATCTTGGAAATAAGTTTCCTGGGGTGAGTTCTTAACCCTTTCCAGCTTTCCCACCCTCTTTGGCTTTAGCCATGGCCTTCTGATCTGTGTTTCTCAGGGGACCTGCAGGCCCCAGATATAGCCCCATGCTGTCCTCCTACCCCAGAGCACACTGTTCAGGCTACTTCCACTGGTACTGAAATCCAGTATTTCACTTACTCTTTTTCTTTCCAATATCCTCATGACATTCAATATTTCACTTACTCTAGGTCCTCCCTGCCTAAGGCCCAAGTCAACTTTCTGTCCAGTGGGATTTGTAATCCAATACCTCCTAGCCCTAGCAGAATCCCATGTGGATAATCAGAAATGTGACTGGAAAAAGGACAGAGCTCTATGGCTGTGGGTCCCAGTCCCCACTGCTGGCAGTAAGTCCCCAGCAGTGAGCTGTGTAAGCACCTTACATTCTGCGCTTGGTTGAAAACAGCAAGGCAAGCATCCACTTGAGAAATGTCAACCCCTAGGAAATCCCAGCCTCAAGTCTTTCTCATCCCTTGGGAAGTGCAAATTGGATAGAGAAGAAACCAATTAAAAACAAAACAAACAAATCATACTTAGATATTCTGGCTTTTCTCACCAGGGCTGGATTAAAGCATGTACTTCAAAATAATAACAACTTAAGTCAATAAATAAATGTAAGGAAGTCCAAATGTTCACCTGAAGACAACTGTGGTCATTTTTTGGCAATCCCAGGTTCTCTTTTCTACCTGTTTGCTCAATCGTGGTCTCCCTCTCCCTCTCTTGTTGGGGCCCATGCCCCTGCTTTACTGTTGCCAGAGGCTTGTACTTGTTTGCCTTTTAGGTAGGAGCAGTTACTTCCACTCCCCTCACCTGCCATAAAGCATCTTTATAAACAAAGCAAGTAGAAGAAACACATCCTGGTATCCACCACATTCGGCTTTTGTTGATTCTGTTCACTTGGGAGCACCTGCTGCTAGGGAATAAGAAGGTTGAGGCTGAAGAGTGAGGACTCTTCAGCTCCCCTCTGGCAGGACCCGGGAGAGGAAAGAGCCCTCAGCTGGTCCATCCTCCCCACTCCTGGTCAGCCTTCTGTTCTGAGATCAAAGTGGTGGGGTCACATTCTCGAGAACTGTGCTCAGCCCCCTCATCTCACACCCTTTCCCTCTCCCTGTGTGCCTGCCCCCCTCTTACATAACCATGCTGGTGATTGGCACCGTCATAAATCAATACTTTGCTCACTTTCACATCAAGTAACACTATCCAGGGAGGTGGTTTCAACAAAGGAGGAAGTATAAGGAGATCTAGGTTCAAATTAATGTTGCCCCTAGTGGTAAAGGACAGAGACCCTCAGACTGATGAAATGCACTCAGAATTACTTAGACAAAGCGGATATTTGCCACTCTCTTCCCCTTTTCCTGTGTTTTTGTAGTGAAGAGACCTGAAAGAAAAAAGTAGGGAGAACATAATGAGAACAAATACGGTAATCTCTTCATTTGCTAGTTCAAGTGCTGGACTTGGGACTTAGGAGGGGCAATGGAGCCGCTTAGTGCCTACATCTGACTTGGACTGAAATATAGGTGAGAGACAAGATTGTCTCATATCCGGGGAAATCATAACCTATGACTAGGACGGGAAGAGGAAGCACTGCCTTTACTTCAGTGGGAATCTCGGCCTCAGCCTGCAAGCCAAGTGTTCACAGTGAGAAAAGCAAGAGAATAAGCTAATACTCCTGTCCTGAACAAGGCAGCGGCTCCTTGGTAAAGCTACTCCTTGATCGATCCTTTGCACCGGATTGTTCAAAGTGGACCCCAGGGGAGAAGTCGGAGCAAAGAACTTACCACCAAGCAGGTATGGTTTTTCTTTCTTTCTCTTTTGCTGGGGGCTGACCGCCCTTCAGCTCCAGCCAAAAGATGTGTGTGAACACAAATATACCTTCTGTTTGAGGTCAGCATCATAGTGGGTCGTGAATCATGTTGGCCTTGCTGCTGTCTCCTCATTTCTAGGGTGGAAAAAAAAAAGCATGAAAACAATCACTTAATGTTGAGCCCCATTACTGATGCTCTCTGGTCCTGCACTAGCCTCCTAGAAAAATCACCACAGGAGAAGCCTTAACTACTGCATGAGTTACCACAAGTCACACATACAACCAGCTCCCTGTTACAGGGCTGGAGTCCCTGGACCCAGGAAATACCACCTCCAAGGACTGTGGGAGCTGGGGACTATGGGAACTGGGATCAACTCAGTCCTGATTCCTTTTGGCCTGCTGGGTTAGTGCTGGCAGCCCCCTGAGGCCAAGGACAGCAGCATGACAGTCACCAGGACTCACCACTTCAAGGAGGGGTCCCTCAGAGCACCTGCCATACCCCTGCACAGTGCTGCGGCTGAGTTGGCTTCAAACCAGTGAGTTTTCTACCTCTACTATTGAAAGGGCACCTTGTCCCACAGAACCGAGTCTTGCCTGCATGTGGTCAGTGCCACCAGGTCCTTCTTCTCTCCACTTTACAGCCCAGCTCGGCTGAAGCTATGGCCAGAGGCACTGCTTTAAGGCCACTCCATATCTAGGACAGGTCAACAGACACCTCTGAGGCCACTGAGTCTTGACTCAATGAATCAGCTATAGCAGGCACTATTCCTCTCCCACATGGCCTCTAATGATATGGTCAGAGTTGAAAGGATGCTAAGGGAGGCCTCAGAGGCTTATTTAATCAGTTGGTTAATGGGAAAAAGTATTTTGTGGTACACAAATACGCTTTAAAAATATTTTAGTTATGTCATAAAAGTCTAAACCTGGGGTTGACAAACTATGGCTCACAGGCTAACTCTGGCCCACCAGCTGTTTTTATAAATGAAGCTTTATTGGAACACAGCCATGCCCATTCGTTATGTATTGTATATGGCTGTTTTTGCCCTACAACATCCTTTCAACTCTGGCCATATCATTAGAGGCCATGTGGGAGAGGAATAGTGCCTGCTATAGCTGATTCATTGAGTCAGCAAAATTGACCAATTGCGAAAGAGACAGTATGGCCCACAAAGCCTAAAATATTAACTATCTGGCCTTTAACAGAAAAAGTTTGCCAACTCCTGATCTAAAAGCTGTCAACTTGTTCCAAAATTATTATGGAATAAACCCAAGACAACCACAAAACTGACTAGACTAGGTTTTTTAGGTAATAACTTTTTAAATTATAAAGTAATACATGATTTCATGCTCCTTGAAAATGAGAAAGCAGTATAGATAAACCTAAATTCACCTTTGGCCATTCTGTCAATCCTAATCTCCAGTTTCCCCAAAAGTACTTAGTGTGATATATTTACTGCCAGACCATTGTGTCTGTGTGTGTGTTCATCTATGCATAGATGGACTATTAAACCTATCTGTTGCCATGTTGTTCTAATTCTGTTTTTCCACTCAATAGCAAGACTTGGAGACTTTCCATATCTGTATAGAGCTCTACTTCATTTATTTTAACTGCTACGTCATATTTCACAGTGTACACTTCTTTTATTTAGCCGTTTTCTTTTCGATAGATATTTAAGCTTTTCCAATTTTTCAGTCTTACCAATGAACCTCACTGTGTTTGTCTGCTTCTAGACATGTGCACGTATTGCACTAGAGGAACTACTAAGACGTTGAATTGCCACATCACAGGATATATGTGGTTCAATTTTTGGCTGCCAAACAGCCCTCCACAGTACCCGAACCGACTGTACTCCCACCAGCAGAGAAGGATAGTTACTGTTCCTCCACACTCCAAACAATGCTTGCTGTTTATTCAGTATTTTATTATTTTTTCCATTGAATTAGTGCAAATGACAACCCATTATTTCAATATTTTAATTTCCCTGATTATTAATGAAGTTGAGCATTCTTTTTATAGGACCCCTCTTGGCCATTGTATTTCTCTTCTTAAATTACCTATTCATATCCTTAGCTTATTTTATGTCGGATTTTTTTTCTTCTTTGTAGGAGTTTTTTATTTATTCTCAATGCAAATTATTTGATATGTGTGTAATATTCTCTCTAAGCTTTGTTTAAATCATACTTTTTAGCCAACAGAAATTTTTACTATTATTGTTGTTGTTATTTTGATGTAGTTGAATCTGTTAGTTTCCCTCTTTCTGGATTTTACTCTTTGAGGCTGATTTTTAAAAGATTTCTCAACTTCCAAAATTATGAAGCTACTTTGGTGCACCTTCCTGTAATACTTTTATTTAAAAAGTTAGTCTTTATTCACCTGGCACTTATTGCAATACATTATTTCAATACTATTTATTGAAAAGTCCATCTTTTTCCTATTTGTTTGAAATATCACCTCTATCATGTACTAAATTCCCACTTACACATGTCCATTTCTGTGTCCTTTTGTATTTATTTCCTATTCCTGAGCCAATTTCCACTATAATGTTTACCTTTTCTACTTGATTTTTTCCCCCAATAAATAGAAAATCTATTTTGTGTTTTGATATTTTGCCTAGTTACCTTATGGAATTCTCTTAATAGTTATAAAAGCTTATCAGTTGATTCCTTTGGAATTTCTAGTTAGACAAACATATCATCTATATATAGTAAGAGTTTTGCTCCTTCCTTTCCAATCTTTACAAACCTTAATTTTTTGTGTCTTATTGGTTTTTCTTTGCCATTCAGCATAATGCTGAGTAGTAGCCATGAAAGTAGATAGTCTCAGAAGTGATGCATACAGTTGTGTGGGTTCTATACTGCACAATTCTAGGAGATACTCTTTACAAACACTTAGATGTCCTAGGAATTCTTGTCATGTTCCTGATTTCCATTTTTATTTTGTACTATGAACTCATTTGGAAACTTCTCTTTGGGACTTGTTGAGATTGAAATTGTTTTCCTCTAGAGGATTTATTTTTGCTTTTGCCAGGAACCTGAGGACAGAACTAACTGGGACCACCATAAGCTTGGGGTCTACTGGCCACACAAATAGTGAGAATCCTGACCCAAACTTACTTGATTGCAGGCCTGTTGTTAAGAATTTCAAAGGAGACTTTTCTTTTTGCTCTACCCAGAGCCAAGGCTGAGAAGGCCTGGGATAGACCTGTCTCCCTCCATGGTTTCTACTGAGGATGTCACCCTTAGGGGATCTTGAGTTTATAGTCTATGATCTGGTTAGGCTCCAGGCTTTGTCTCCTATTCTACCATTAAAATCCAGGCCCCAGGCCTACAGGAGTCCAGAAAACTCCAGGATGATCATGACTTCCCTTTCTCATGCCTCTGGCTTAGCATAATCTTATAAATTTTGGCCTCTTGAGACTTCCTTTACTTTCCTACCAGCTCAATCCTGCATGAAAAATGACATTCTTAAAAATTTAGTATTTCTAGGTGCTGCATACCAGGAGGATTTTCTGTAACCAACTTCTCCATCATAGTGCCAGCAATAAAATCTTTATTTTTTATTTTAATGAGATTGATTCTAATGCTTCTCCAATAAGATAGCTAGTAAAAGTGTTTAGTAACTATTCCATATCAAGTTAGTGAAGCTCTCTTCTATTCCTCTTGGTTAACCAAGAATTTTAAATCATGAATGAATATTGAGTTTTATTAAATGCTGTTAAGCATTGATTAATTTCCTTATCATATCTCCATAGTTAATTATATAGCTCATCCCAAGGGTGATAGAAGCAGAGATGATCCAATAGCCACTAGGACCCTTGGAATGCAGACCCATGATTTTTCCATTAAAAAGAACAATAAATTCAGGGAACGTGGACAACATTAATTCAAATTCTTAGTGTGGTTGCCACGTTCTGTTTGTTGAGCCATCAGACTCTTGCCCTCACACTTCAGATATTGGTGTCCTGGGCACAACCTGGGGAGGACAGGAGGAATGTGTAGGGAACCTCTCTTGCATACAGGGGCTTTTTAGGTGGCACAATTTGAAGGGGGCTGGGAAAAGTTCCCTGCAACACCTCCTGAACCTCTTTGAAACATCGATATAACAAACTGAATATCCAACTGGAAATTGACATAAAGAGACATATCCAAATCCCTCATGTAATGTTTGAAATAATTTTCCTGGATCTGTGTAAGTTCCAAAGAGTCAAACTATAAAACCACAGGCAACACTGGCACTACACATGCATTGATAAGACATAGGCAGTTAACTCAGAGGCCACTGTGTCCTGTTAAATATTGGAAGAGGGTACTGTGTGTACTTATGACCTGGGCTGGTGCCAGCTCTCAACCCTGATCTGTGTCTAGTAACCTTCTGACCTCTTGGATCTGATGACCAAGTCCCAGGAAGCATAAAGGCCAATTTTCATTTATGGCCCCCTGAAGAGAGCAGCTGACTTCTCTTTCTTGAATTCATAAACCGTGACTTTGGCTATCTGAGTTTCCTCTGGAGGCCTGCCCCATGCCAGGGCCAGTGAGGAGGTTTTGTTAATAATACTTGATTTGTTTCATAAAGAATTTAAAACATATAGCCTCATTTTGCCCCCATGAATTCTGTGAAAAAACAACTTGCATCATGTATCTATTTACATGACAGGAAGAATCAGAATAAGGGAAAAGAAAAGATGTTCTGGCCAGGCATGGTGGATCATGCCTGTAATCCCAGCACCTTGGGAGGCCGAGGCAGGTGGATCACTTGAGGTCAGGAGTTTAAGACCAGCCTGGCCAAAATGGCGAAAACCCGTCTCTACTAAAAATACAAAAATAATCCAGGTGTGGTGGCACACACCTGTAATTCCAGCTACTTGGGAGGCTGAGGCACGAGAATCATTTGAACCCAGAAGGTGGAGGTTGCAGTGAGCAGAGATCATACCATGGCACTTCAACCTAGGGGACAGAGTGAGACTGCCTCCAAAAAAAAAAAAAAAGTTCCGTCATTAATTGACTTCATGAACTGGAACACACCCCAGAGCCCCAGTTTCCTCATTTGCAAAAGGGATAATAAGAACTGCCCTGCCCCCGACTCCCTTATTCAACTTGGGATAAGCCCTGCCCTGCCTTCCTCACAGGCACCTTGACATGAAGTTGTAATTTTGAAATCATTTTGTAAACAGCAAAACTTGTGCAAATGTGAGTTAAATTCACCAAACGTCTCCCTTCACTGAACAACGTCAATGGTTTTATAGGCATCACTTGCCTGCATCTTAGAAATTCAGTATTCTTATATTACATTCCCCTTACTTGCTTTTTTCTCTTTATCCTCTGGCCAGTTCTGCTATTAATATGTGTGTGTGTGTGTGTGTGTGTGTGTGTGTGTGTGTGTGTGTGTGTGTGGTGTGTATGTGTATCTTGGAGATAGTAGGATGATTATATATATATTTAATTATGCGTGTGTGTATATATATGTGTGTATACACACATAATTAAATATATGTAATCGTGTGTATGTATATGTATGTATACACACACACATAATTAAATATAATCCTGCTATCTCCAAGAGTTTCTATCCCAAAGATTATGATTTTTGTTTTTTTATCCATTTACCCCCTTTTACTTAGACTCTGTTGCTTCAAATTCAAGTTGCCCACTCTTCTCTTCCCATAATCTCAGTGACCTGGTTCCAAAGCTTGTGCTTTGACTCATTTGAAGACTAAATTTATCTGTATGTCCTCCCCACATCCTTTTCCTGGGAAGGAACTATCTCACCCTCAAAGTACATTGACTTTTTAAAAAATTATTATTATTATTACTTTAAGAGACAGGGTCTTGCTGTGTCACCTAGGCTGGAGAGCAGTGGTATGATCATGGCTCACTGCAGTCTCGAACTCCTGGGCTCAAGTGATCCTCCCGCCTCAGCCCCCCAGAGAGCTGGGACTACAGGTGTGTGCCACCATGCCCAGACACTTTTAAAATTTATTTTTGGTAGAGACAAAGTCTCATGTTGTTGCCCAGGTTCATCTGAAATTCCTGGCCTCAAGTGATCCTCCTGCCTCAGCCCCCCTAAGCATTGGGATTACAGGTGTGAGCCACCATCCCTGGCCATCATTATACAAATTTATTTATTTATTTTCATTTGATTGAGACAAGGTGTCATTCTCTTGCCCAGGCTGCAGTGCAGTGGGACAATCATGGCTCACTGTAGCCTTGACCTCCTGGGCTCAAGTGTTCTTCCTGCCTCAGCCTCCCAAGTAGCTGGGACTACAGGCACATGTCACCACACTTGGCTAATTTTTTATTTTTTTGTAGAGATGGCATCTCACTGTATTGCCCAGACTTGTCTCGAACTCCTGGCCTCAAATGATCCTCCTGTTTCAGCTTCCCTAAGTGCTGGGATTACAGGTGTGAGGCACTGTGCCCGGCCTGTATATTGACTTTAAACAACAATTTATAATGTGAGTCATTTCACATATCTCTTTGATTATTTATTTTATTTCCTAGCACCATAAAGTTGTTTTTATTGACAAGATCATCTTCTCCATGCCAGTCTGTTTGTGTACTGCCAATTTTCTGTCTGGTTAGTTGGATTTCCCTGCTACTACTGCAAGTGTGGACTGCAGACCCATAGCATCAGCTCACCTGGGAGCTTGTGAGATGCTGAAGCTCAGACCCACCACAGACCTACTGAATGGGAATTTGCATTTTCATAAGCTCCTGGGTGATCTGTATGTACTTGAAAGCTGGAGCATCACTCTCTTAGATTGTAAGCACAGGCTCCAGGTTACCTTAAACGGGGGCACTTCTGAAGCAGGCATGGGAGAGAAGGAAGGCAAAAATCTCAATTGCCAGGGCCCTGACCTCCTAGAGATTAAAATGTAGTTCAGAACTCAGGTTGGGATCAAATGCACTTTAATTGACATGGTTATCTTTTTCTTCCTGATTGTAGTGCTTTTAACTACTGTATTAGTCCATGTTCACATTGCTGATAAAGACATACCTGAGACTGGGTAAATTACAAAGAAAAAAAGGTTCAATGGACTCACAGTTCCATGTGGCTGGGGAGGCCTCACAAACATGGTGGAAGGCAAACGGCATGTCTTACATGGTGTCAGGCAAGAGAGAGAATGAGAACCAAGCGAAAGGGGTTTCCCCTTATAAAACCATCAGATCTCATGAGACTTATTCACTGCCATGAGAACAGTATTGGGGGAACCGCCCCCATGATTCAATTACCTTCCACCAGGTCCCTCCCACATATGTAGCATTATGCAAGCTACAATTCCAGATGAGATTTTGGTGGGGACACAGCCAAACCATATCAACTATTGATGTTACTTTCCTTTGTTTCCTTTCTTTCTGCTGCTTCTCCTCCTCACAACTTCTGTTTCCTCGGGGCCCTTCCTGCTTCACAGCTTCCCTGTCCTGCCTTCTCTCTGAGTGCACTGTGGCTGCCATGCACAGGGCAGGACTGAGGCACCCCAACCAGTCTACTATTTTGGCTTCCTTTTCAATTTAAATTCAATTTAAATATTATTTAAATATTTGATCAACATTTATTTGGTGATGTTCTTTTTTTAATTTGTAAAATATACAGAAGGAGCAGGATTGAAAAATTAATTAGTTCTGGTAAAATTCAAATAACAAATTTTACCATCTTAAGCATTTCTAAGTGTATAGCTCAATAATGTGAAGTATGTTTTCATCGTTGTGCAGCCAATCTCCAGAGGTTTTTCATCTTTTAAGATGGAAACTCTACCCATTAAACAACTCCCATTCCCCTCACCCCACAGCCCCTGGCAACCACCATTCTACTTTCTGCTTCCATGAGCTTGACTACTATACCTCATATTTGTCTTTCTGTGACTGGCTTATTTCACTTAGCATAATGTCCTCAAGGTTCATCCGTATTGTAGCATGTGTTAGAATTTCCTTTTTTTTAAGGCTGACTCATATTCTATTGTAGTATGTCCCATGTTTTGTTTATCCATTCATCAGTTGATGAAATTTGGGTTGCTTCTACATTTTGTCTATTGCGAATAGTGCTGCTGTGAACATCAGTGTACAAATATCTCTTCAAGACCCCGATTTCAGTTCTTTTTGGATATACATCCAGAAATGGTTGCTGAATTATATGATAATTCTATTTCAATTTTCTGAGAAATTGCCATATTGTTATCTATAATGGCTACACCATTTTTACATTCCTACCACCTGAGTCCAAGGTTCCCATTTGTCTACAGCCTTGCCAACACTTGTTATTTTCTGTTTATGTGATAGCGGCCATCCTGAATATAAAGTGATGTTTCATTATGGTTTCCCTTTGCATTTGCCTTATGATTAACGATGTTGAGTACTTTTTCATGTGCTTGTTGGCAAGTGATGTTCTTTTAAATGTGTACTATGTTCTTTATGGTCAAAATAAATAATTTATTCTGTGTAATTTTCCAAACCACACAACTTCTTGGAAGGCATGTTTAAGTGTTCACATAATAAAACAGTACATTTCTTCCTTGCAAACAGCCCTACACCACATATTTTTCCATTTCTGGCTCTGTCTGCCAACTTCAATGGGCTGTCCTCAGGGTTGGGTTGGCTGGAGTGGCCCTGTGTGACAGGCATGTGAGTGTCCCTGAGCACCGTACAGATACTAGTCTGCATTGTCAAGGAGTGTTTTAAGTCTCCACCTCAGGGTGATGACTGCTTTGGTAGGAAAGGAGGCAATCTAAAATTCACCTGATTTCTGATTCATTCCAATAATGTTTTGGTGTCTTTGAATATGGCAGCCCCCTGGGCAGCAGTCCAGCCAGCAGACCTTATAACTTAGCTCTGTCTGTATGTCTGACATCCAGACTCACTAGAAGAGGATCTAAATGGGCCAGGGAATTACTTGTCCCTGGGACAGAGCAATTACACCATCCCTCATAGGCCCCAGAAGGCCTATGGACCTTTGCTTGGGCACCAGGAGCTTCTCTGAGAGCAGGTTTGGGGTGGGCTTGGCCTCCAGAGTGGCCTCCTCCTGCAATGTCAGGCTAGATTAACATCTATGAGAGTCTCCTGTACAAGGAGAGGTGGGAGGCTGTGAACACTCCTATGTAACACCATTTGTCCCCTTGTGTGATTGCTTCACCAATGTTGACAGCTCATGTGACACACCTGTCTTCTTCTGATGGAGGAAGGAAGTAATACCATTTTCTATCAAAAGCATTCTTTGATCATCCCTGTCCTAAAAAAAAGTTACTTGATGGGTCTCTTGTCAAAATCAGTGATATGGTTTGGATGTTTTATCCCTTCCAAATCTCATGTTGAAATATGACCTCTAGGCCGGGCTCAGTGGCTCACAACTGTAATCCCAGCACTTTGGGAGGCTGAGGCGGGCGGATCACTTGAGGTCAGGAGTTTGAGACCAGCCTGGCCAACATGGTGAAACCCCATCTCTACTAAAAATACAAAAATTAGATGTGGAGTTCAGAGTGGAAACAGGTGTGAGAGGGTTCAACAGAAGAAAACATAGCTGCCAAGTGTTTGAGTCCATCGGCAAGTTTGGACTGGCCTTAGCTGTTGCAGAAGGCATGGTGAACTCTGCCTTATATAACATGGATGCTGGGCACAGAACTGTCATCTTTGACCGATTCTGTGGAGTACAGGACATTGTGGTAGGGTAAGGGACTCACTTTCTCATACCATGGGTACAGAAACCAATTATCTTTGACCACCGTTCTCAACCACATAATGTGCCAGTCATCACTGGTAGCAAAGATTTACAGAATGTCAATATCATTCCGTGCATCCTCTTTGGGCCTGTCACTAGCCAGCTTCCTCGCATCTTCACCAGGATCGGAGAAGACTATGATGAGCGTGTGCTGCCATCCATCACTACTGAGATCCTCAAGTCAGTGGTGGCTCGCTTTGATGCTGGAGAACTAATCACCCAGAGAGAACTGGTCTCCAGGCAGGTGAGCGACGACCTTATGGAGCGAGCAGCCACCTTTGGGCTCATCCTGGATGATGTGTCTTTGACACATCTGACCTTCAGGAAGGAGTTCACAGAAGCAGTGGAAGCCAAACAGGTGGCTCAGCAGGATGCAGAGAGGGCCAGAACTCACTGGCCACTGCAGGGGACGGCCTGATGGAGCTGTGCAAGCTGGAAGCTGCAGAGGACATCACGTACCAGCTCTCTCGCTCTTGGAACATCACCAATCTGCCGGCAGGGCAGTCCGTGCTCCTCCAGCTGCCCCAGTGAGGGCCCACCCTGCCTGCACCTCCATGGGCCAACTAGGCCACAGCCCCAGTGATTCTTAACACTGCCTTCCTTCTGCCTCCACTCCAGAAATCACTGTGAAATTTCATGATTGGCTTAAAGTGAAGGAAATACAGATAAAATCACTTCAGATCTCAAAAAAGAAAAAAAAAATTTAGCTGGACGTGGTGGCATGTACCTGTAATCCCAGCTACTCGGGAAGCTGAGGTAGGAGAATCACTTGAACCCAGGAGGCAGAGGATATAGTGAGCTGAGATCGCGCCACTGCCCTCCAGAGTGGGTGACAGAGGAAGACTCCGTCTCAAAAACAAAAAACAAACAAAAAAAAAGAAACGTGGCCTCCAATGTTGGAGGTAGGCCTAGTGGGAGGTGTTTGGTCATGGGGGTGGATCCCTCATGACTGGTTTGGTACCCTCGGTAATGAGTGATTCTCACTCTTAGTTCATAGAAGAGCTGGTTGTTTAAAGAGCCCGGCACCTCCTCTCTCTCTTGCTCCCTCTTGCTGTGTGACATGCCGGCTCGCACTTCACCTTCCACCATGCTTGGAAGCTTCCTGAGACCTCACCAGAAGCAGATGCTGGTGCCAAGCTTGTACAGCCTTCAGAAGCACGAGCCAAACAAACCTCTTTTCTTCATAAATTACCCAGCCTCAGATTCCTTTGTAGCAATACAAAATGGACTAACACAATCAGATCTCACTGTAACTCTGGAAACTTGCTGCCCACCCATTCTCTTCTAGCCAAAGTCCACTTTTTCCCCTCCAGAGTTACCACAAGGAAAATGAACAGCCTCAATCCTTACCACTCAGGCAAGATTAAAGAGTTACAGTGCAGCAGAGAGGCAGGACAGGACCACCGTGGGCCAAGCGATCCCAACTCTGCCCAATCAGTGGAGGCTGCCTTCTGGAGGCTGTAGGGGAGGATCAGTTTCCTCACCTCTTCCAGCTTCTAGATGCCGTGGCAATCCTTGGCTCACAGCCCCTTCTTCCATCTTCAAAGCCAGCAACTTAGCATCTGACCCTTTTTCCACATTACGTCTCTTTCTCTGATCAAACCCAGGAAAGCTTTTCTAATTTTAAGATTCATGTGATTAGACTAGGCCTGCCTGGATAATTCAGCACACTCCCCATCTCCAGGTTCTGTACCCTCATCACATCTGCAGAGACCCTTTTGCCATATAAGGAAACATATTCACATGTTCTGGGGATAAGGGTGCAGACATCTTTGAGGGCCTTTATTCTATCTACCATAAGGACACGATCAAAAACATTATAGAGGCATGCCAGGCAATTAATTAATGAAAGTGTTATGACATTTTTCTGAATTCTGTGATGTTGTTACTTGTCCTTTTTAATGTCTGTCATTTGTTGTGATTTCTTTTCTCATTCTTTCTTACAAATATTCTCTTCGGTACATAATTTTGTATTTGTAATTGCGTGTTTTTTAAAATTATTTTTTAGACAGGGTCTCACTCTGTCACCCAGGCTGGAATGCAGTGGCACAATCCTAGCTCACCACAGCCTTGAATTCCTGGGCTCAGGCAATCCTCCCACCTCAGCCTCCCAAGTAGCTAGGACTACAGGCATGCACCAACATGCCTGGCTGAGTTTTTTTGTTTGTTTGTTTTTTTGGGGTGTTTTTTTTTGAGATAGAGTCTCACTCTGTTGCCCAGACTGGAGTTGTGTGAACATGGCTCACTGCAGCCTCGACCTCCTGGGCTCACGTAATCTTTTCATCTCAGCCTCCTGAGTAGCTGGGACCACAGGTACGTGCCACCACACTTGGCTAATTTTTAAATTTTTTTGTAGAGACAGGATCTCACCATGTCACCCAGGCATGTCTCGAACTCCTGGGCTCAAGTGATCCTCCCACTTTGGCCTCCCAAAGTGCTGAGATTATAGGTGTGAGCCACTCACCCAGCCTTTTTTTTTTTTTTTTTAAGAGATAGGGTCTTGCTATATTGTCCAGGCTGGTCTCATACTCCTCACAATTGATCCTTCCACCTCAGCCTCCCAAAGTGCTGACATTAGAGGCATGAGCCCCCACACCTGGCCTATATTCTTTTTTCTTAAATAGGACTGCCCAGGCCAAGCGCCATGGTTCATGCCTGTAATCCCAGCATTTTGGTTGGCCAAGGCAGATGGATCACCTGAGGTCAGGAGTTCAAGATTAGCCTGGCCAACATGGTGAAAAACCTGTCTCTACTGAAAATACAAAATTAATCTGGTGTAGTGGCCCATGCCTTGCGGTCCCAGCTACTTGGGAGGCTGAGCCAGGAGAATTGCTTGAACCCAGGAGGCACAGGTTGCAGTGTGCCAAGATCGTGCCTTTGCACTCCAGCCTGAGTGACAAGATTGAAACTCTGTCTCAAAATAAGTAAATTAAATTAAATAATGTAAAATAAAATAAAATAGGACTGCCCAAATTGTGTAAGCCTCAGAACCCACGTAAGCTGACTAAAGGGCACCTCTACTTGCCCATTGACTAACCTGAACACCAGATGAAATTGCTCTTCCAAACACCACTAGCTGGGGAGTTGGCTCTTGGCTGGGGTTGGTCAGTGCACAGGCCAGTAAGGGAGCTGGGCAAGTGCAGAAGTGGAGACTAGCTGTGTCCCAGACAGCGACTCTCCGGCTGTGACCCTGGAGAGTCCTTTAGCAGGGCAAAGTGCAACATAGGCAGACCTTAAGGGATGACTCAGTAACAGATAAGCTTTGTGTGCCTGCAGGGGGATGGGAAGAGGGTGGGGCAGGAGAGGGACATAAAAGGGCTCTGAGGCATTGTACTGTGAATTCCTTCAGTCTCCTGCTCTGCTCAGCCAGTCAGCCCTGCCTCCCTTGTTTAGGACCACACAGCACTGCTGGGTGTCTGCCTTTCCTTGTGACTCTTCTCTAGCCTCTGCATGGCCAGCAGCCCTCTTCTTTTCTCCTATTCTCTTAAGAAACATGCCCATCACCTGCAGTTTCTCTGGGCTCCCCGTTAATCTGCCTTCCTCATCTCCTAATGCTGCCTCCTCCCTCCCATTGCCGGTGCCTGGAAATAGTCAAGGCTGGGTTCTGTTCTTTTGCTTGAATTTCTTTCACTTGGCTTCTTGACTCTTTCTAAACTACAATCCCCCCATTCTCACTGCCTTAGTTTTCCCTCTCTCTGTGTTTCTCAAACTATATCCCACCACGCCCTGACAAGGGCTTCTCTCCTGTAGATCATCCCTTTTCTAGTATTTTGCTAGAAATATATAGTGGGATTTTCTCCTTTGCCCTACATCATCACTAAACTTCCCAACCTAATAGGCAGTGTCTTGCACCTTCTACTGATCATTTCATTCTTTCTTGCACTAAAGATGACCACTTCCCATGTCTGTACCCAATTCCTGTTTGGCCCAAATGTATCTGCAGCACTCACCCGTGTTCTCACACTGAGTCTCTAAATATTTGACTCCAAAGGTCACTAGTGGATCACCTCCCTGCCTCTCACTTTCCCCCAAGGCACAAAGTCTTCTCCCAGCACTTCTCTTTAGTCCTCCTCTTCCTCATGTTTCTTCTGTAGGGGGAGGACCATGTTCAACTTTGTGATTTTTTTCTAGTTTGTAGTTGTGATCTACCCTGTACCACTGAGTCATCTCAAATCACTTAAACACTCACACCAAGTGTACCGCACTTCACGGCTTAATCCCCTGTTGATCAGAAAACCCCAGGTCCCTGGAATTGAAGCAGGGTCTCATTCAGCCTGACATGACCTGAAATTTCTCCCTGACTCCTTTCCCAGCCCCAAGACAGGGGACTTGCAAGAGTCCCATTGTTGAGCCTCCTTGGAACCCACTGTCTTCCATTGGTCATGTTCCACCCAGCAGGTTCTATCTAGTTCTAATCCTCAATGCTGCTTCGCATCCCTTCCTTGCTCCATTGTCCAGCCCTGAGCTCACTCAAGCCTTGTACTGCTCTCCCCTTTTCCCTTCCCTCCCAACCCTATTCCTCTCCTCTCTACATACTCCTGGGAGCCTTGCTCCTTCTGTAGCAGAAACTTCACACACATTTTCTTTCAAATTCTCCTCCATTGCTATCTCCAGTTGCACCGCTCTTCTTCATTTCTTTCCCTCCACATTCAAACTTGTCTTCTCTGGAGGGCATGCTCTCCTGGGGGCTCCCCCTGGCCCAGCCTCAGCATGGCATCTGCCTTTCTGGTTCCTTCCCACCTTCTCTCTCCTCACTTCTTGCCCTGCCAGATCTGTCTATGGCAACAGCCCCTGCAGCAGTGCACTCTCCTCTTCCTCTTCATGCCCAAAGCCATGTCAGCCTCTCTCAGCAGCTTCCATTTTATTGTAGAGACACTAAGCATAGAGAAGTTAGTGAGTAAAGTGAGTTAGTTCAACATCAGTGGCAAGGGCTAGGACATGGCCTCCTGACTATGACAACAAGACAATGCCCACTATATCTCCAGCCGCCAGGAGCAAAAAACAAAGTCCTCTGACCTCCAGGAGGCTGCCGGCTAGCTGGGTCCTGTTTGGTCACAATCAGTCATTCCCATGTTTATGTGTGTGTCATTCATGGAAGACCTCCCTTCTCCCTTTAATAGGGGATTTGGGGCCTCTTAGCAAATGAAGTAACTGCACAAAGATATGTGTGTGTGTGTGTGTGTGTGTGTGTGTGTCCCCTTCTCATTCTTATGAAGTCCTAATGCTCCTCCATTACCCCCAAACAAACACAGGGGATCTTATACTGAAAATCAGCATTCACAGAAAGGAAATGGCCTCATGAGGAAGCAGCAGGAACAATCTGTTTATGGGAGAGCTCAGTGGGCCAGGCAGGAGGTGTCATGGCCCTTCCTCTGCGTCTACCATACCTCCTTCTTCAAGCTGTTTAGGTGGTGCTCTGGGGTGTCAGCCTCCAGGCATTCAGCTATCGGACTCTTACTCTAAAGAGGAAAGGGAAAACTGAGGAAATACAGACAATTATAGAGGAGAAAATGAAAATAATTCCAACCCCAAATTCATCACTATTTCAATTCTATATATATACATATCTACACACACAGATACATACATACATATCTCTAAAAGATAGCATATACAGGACATTATTATTATTGTAGTTTTAAACCTTCAATATTGTTTTATATGCACCCACATATTTACCCTTTTTAGTTCTCCATATTCCCTCCTGAAGTTCCATGCTCCCCACTGGCTTTTGCCAGGATAACTTTCTTTGGTATTACTTGTAATGCAAGTATCTGCTGGCAACAAATTCTTCAGTCTTTGTCTGAAAATGTCTTTATTTTGCCTTTACAATAGAAGGATAATTAAACTATTGGTCAAATTCTTGGATAGCAATAAAGATATTAACCATTGTCTTTTCTGTTTTACAATTTCAACTGAAAAGTCAACCATTAATCTTAATTTTATTTCTTTGTGGTTAATTTTTTTTTTCTGGGTATTTGTAAGATTAGTTTTCTTGTCATCGATTCCCAGCAATTTTACGATGTGTGGGTAGGTATGTGTGTTTTTAATCCTTTCATTGGTTTCAAAAACTTCTTGGCAAGTGTGCTTTCCCAGATTGCTTCTGTCCGATTCTTGTGTCCGTAACATATGTTAGGCTATTTCACTGAGTCTCGTGTGTCTCTTACGCCCTGTTCTTTTCTTAATGCTCTTTTTTGTTTGTTTCTGTGCTTCGGTTTATATATTTTCTGTTGACCTAATTTTGAACTCACTATCACTGTCTGTTGCTGATTCAATCTGTTGTTAAAACATCCAATGAGTTGTCAGTTTCAGATATTGTACTATTAATTTCTGGAATGTCCAGAAATGTCCAGTTGATTATTTTTAAAAATAGCATTATTGAGAGATACCTTATGTATCATAAAGTCTAATCATTTAAGTGAACAATTGAATAACTGTTAGTATATTTAGAGTTGTGCAGCTATCATCAAAATCTAATTCCAGGACATTTCTATGCTCCAAAAAGTACTCGGGAGGCTGAGGCAGGAGAATGGCGTGAACCCGGGGGGCGGAGCTTGCAGTGAGCCAAGATCGCGCCACTGCACTCCAGCCTGGGCGACAAAGAGAGACTCCGTCTCAAAAAAAAAAAAAAAGAAAAAGAAAGAAAGAAAAAGAAACCTCATGTTCATTTGCAGCCACTCTCTATTCCACTCTCAGCCACAGGCAACCACGAATCTACTTTCTCTATGGATTTGCCTTTCCTGGACATTTAATATAAGCGGAACTATACAAAATGCGGTCTTTGGGTATACTTCTTTCACTTAGAATGTTTTCAAGGTTCATCTGTGCTGTAGCATCTATCCTTCATTCTTTTAAACCGCTGAATAGAATTTCATTGTATATTAGTATTCCAGGTGCATTCCACATTTTATTGATCCACGAACCGGTTGATGAATATGTGGGTCGGGTTTTGGGCTATTATGAATAATGCTGCTATGAACATTTGTGTGCAGTTTTTGTGTGTGGGCATAGGTTTTCATTTCTCTTGGGTGGATATGTAGAAGTGGAATTGCTGAGTTATGGTGAATGTGTTTAACATTTTAGGTAACTGAGCAATTGTTTTCTTAAGTGGCTGCACCATTTTACACTCCTGCTAGCAGTGCATAAGGGCTCAGTTTCTCCACATTATTGCCGATTCTTACCTCTTTTTGATTTGTAGCCATTCTTGTGTATTGTAAGATGTATTTCTTTGTGGTTTCAATTTGCCTTGCTCTAATAATCAATATTCTTGAGTATATTTTCACATGTTTATTGGTCATTCATAGCTTCTTTGGTGAAATATCTATTTTAATCTTTTGTTCATTTTTAAATTGGGTTATTTGTATTTATATTATTGAGTTGTAAGAGTTCTTCATATATTCTGGATACAAGTCCCTTATGGGATATGTGATTTTTAAAATATTTTCTGTCTGTGTCTTATCTTTCTACTTTCTTAATAGTGTAGAAAGCACAAACATTTTCAATTTCAATGAAGTTCAATTTATCAACTTTTTTGTGCCATATTTTTTCTGATTAAAAAACAAACAAACACAAACAAAAAAAAACTTTTAAAAGACAGGAATAGAATAAGTCTTCCGAATGTAATATGACAATCTGTCTTACCAACCACCAGTAATATGCTTTATAAGGAAAACTAGGCTGGGTGTGGTGGTTCATGCCTCTAATTCCAGCATTTTGGGAGGCTGAGGGGCATGGATCACCTAAGGTCAGGAATTTGAGACCAGCCTGGCCAACATGGTGAAACCCCGTCTCTACTAAAAATACAAAAATTAGCTGGGCGTGGTGGCAGGCACCTGTAATCCCAGCTACTCAGGAGGCTGAGGCAGGAGAATCGCTTGAACCTGGGAGGCAGAGGTTGTGCACCACTGCACTCCAGCCTGCGTGATGAGACTTTGTCTCAAAAAACAAACAAACAAACAAACAAACACACACACACACACACACACACAAAGACATATAATACCCGAAGCCTTCACGCTTTTGGTGTCACATCTAAGAAATCTTTCCCTAACCATAAGAACTTATTCCTGTTTTCTTCTCAGAGTTTTATAGTTATAGCTCTTACATTTAGGTCTATGATTTTGTGATCCATTTTGAGTAAATTTTTGTGTATGGCACGAGATAAGAGCTTTAATTCATCTTGCATGTGAATATCCAATTTTCCAAGCACCTTTTTTTAGCAAAGCTGGCCTTTCCTCCATTGAATTGCCTTGCATTTTTACCAGAGATCAATTAATGATAATAGTAAGGGTTTATTTCTTGAATCTCAATTATGACCCATCAATCTCTATATCTGTCTTTATACTAATGCCACATTATCTTGGTTATTTTAGCTTTGTTGTAAGTTTTGAAATCAAAAAGTGTAAGTCCTCCAACTTTGTTATTCTCTTCCAACATTATTTTGGCTATTATGGGTCTTTTACTTTTCCATAGATCACAGTTCTCCTTTGAAGCTTTTCTTGCCTTCATCCCTTTGTCTATATTATCTTCCATTTATTTTTCATTAATCATAGGGTGTTTTTTGGTCGTTTTTTTCCCCTTTTTGTGGAGAATGCGGTCTTGCTGTATTACCCAGGCAGGTCTTGAACTCCTGGGCTCAAGCCCTTCAGAGCGTATAGGACAAGATGCCTCTGGATGTGGTCAGAGTGGCAGTAAGGTTCCTCGGTCCATTCTTCTATAGCTGGAATTGAAATGGCAAGAAAAGGAGTGAGGGTCTTAGGGAATCACTTCCTGCCTGGGAACAGAGAGCTACATTAAAGGAGTCCCATGGCATGGAGGGACCCTGTCTGGGGTGAACCACCTAGGAAAAAGTTTGCAGGCAATCATGGAAATGAAGAAAGTTTAATAAACGGTTTACCCACTCAAAGACAAACCTTGTGAAGGATGCAGCATAGCACTGAATTAAGAACACAGGTTTTGGAGTCAGACTGACATGGGTTGAGATTCTGGCTCCACCTCCTCCCAGCTAAATAATGTCAATGAATCACTCACCTGAAGAGGAGAGGGGCTGTGTGTGCTCAGTGCAGCCTGACAGTGCCTTCAGCAAACTGACAATTTTAGTCACGTAGAAAGACTAAATTCATTGATTTATTCACTCATTTATTAAATAAATGAATTATATTCTTCCTTTCTGAGAACGTAGTCCTTAGCTTTAATACTTACCCTGCATACCGGATTTTACAATTAATTATCTTTGCAAAGCCCTCTCTGAAGAAGTGTTTACTTTCACTCAGTACAGGAGATGATCCTTTCAACCTTCTTCTGATGAGATTTCACCGATTACTAAGCACCGTGAGAAGCAGGTGGAGCCCTCAGAAGCAAACACAGTTGTATTCAGTTAAAAGTACACATCTAATTGGTCTCCCTAAATTTGCATGAAAGAGAGATGTAGCTGGCACACCTCAGACACCCAGTCACTGTCATTTTCCTGCCCAGAGGGCAACATTCTGTAAAGGAACAGTGATGGAAGAGTGGCATGGGAGCAGGACTGCAGCTGCTGGGCTGGCTCCCCCATCACCACAGTTCAGATCTATTTCTAACCCAACTCCAGGGGTTCCACTTCCATTATTTCTTGCCGTGTAACAAATCTCCCCTAAACTCACTGGATTAAACCCACCACTGTTTCATTTTCTGACATGATTTTCTGTGTTGGCTGGGCTCAGCTGGGGAGTTCTTCTGCATCACAGGACCTTGGCCAAGGCTGCAGTCACCTGGAGGCATAATTGGGCTGGGGAGTCCAAGAGGGCTCACTCACACATCTGCTGTTTGGTGAGGGCGGCCGGGAGGCTGGGGTGGCTGGTCCTGTCTCATCGGTGCGATCTCAGGCCTCTCCCTCTTCACATGGCCTCTCCGCATGGTCTCTTTGGGTGGTCACTGAGCAGGGTAGCCAGACTTTGTTGCATGGTGGCTTAGGGCTCTCCAAAGACAAAAGCAGAAGCTACCAGGCTTCTTATAGCGTAGACCCAGAATTGTCTCTTCCCCACATTCTATTAACTAAGCAAGTCACAGACCATCCTAGACTCATTATGGGAGGGGGCTGCACAAGGGTGTGAATCTTTCGGGGCATGGCTCCTGGGGGCCACCTTGGATAACAGCTGTAATGGGTTCTCTAGCGGGGGCTTCATAAGCATATGAGAGAAGGAACTATAGAATGTGCCAGAGTCGGCTTGCTTAACACTTGGGCAAAACAAAATGAAAGTTATACAAATACTGCGGAATGAGATTCTAGCATTAATTCTACTATCTCCTCATTAAGAAATTGGGGAAAGTGTAAATTAGACATGATTTAAGTAAATGTCTTTTTTCTGGTCCTTTGGTGATATTTCTTTTATCTTCTTGGTCCATGTCACCTGTGGGCTTCTCCTGTGATTCATGTAGTCATGTTGTACTTGTCACTTCCATTATGGGGAAGAGCATTTATATTTATTGCGAGAAAGCAGCATCTCACCATCTTCAATTGTCCAAAGTTCACAATTGATGTGCAGAATCTTTGCCAACTGTCTCCATTGCCCCAGGTGCTGCTATCCCTCATGGCTCCTGAATGATGCTGAAAATGTAAGGGAGGTTGGTCTCTTCTAATGTACACTCTGAAATACTATCCTGCTAATAACATTTTCTCTGCCTGCCTGTGATGCTCTTTGATTTTGGAACACTCTTTGTGTCTGTGAACAGTTAGAGGGTTATGTAAAGTCCCTGGGTTTTTGTCATAAGAGTGACTTCCAAGTTATTTGGAATACATAACAGAATATATCTGGTGTGTAGTAGATGCTCAACACATGTCTGTTGAGCAATATGATAAATGCTATGATGATTGTTATGAGGAATAAATGAGTGCCATGTTCTGAATGTTTATGTTTCCCCCAAATTCGTATGTTAAAATCCTCATCCCCAGTGTGATGGCTTTAGAAGATGGGGACTTTGGGGGGTGATTGGGTCATGAGGGTAGAACCCTCATGATTGAGTTAGTGTCCTCATGAATGAGACCCCAGAGGCCGGGTGTGGTGGCTCATGCCTGTAATCCCAGCACTTTGGGAGTCTGAGGCAGGTGATCACTTGAGCCCAGAAGTTGCAGACAAGCCTGGGCAATATGGGGAAACCCTGCCTCTACTAAAAATGAAAAAAAAAAAGTAGCTGGGTATGGTGGCATGCACCTGTAGTCCCAGGAGGCTGAGTTGGAGGATCGCTTGAGTCCAGGAGATAGAGGCTGCAATGAGCTGAGATCACACCACTGAACTCCAGCCTGGGTGGCAGAGTTTTTTCTTTTCTTTCTTTTTTTTTTCTGTCTCAAAAGAGAGAGAGAGAGAGAGAGAGAGATAGAGAGGTCCCAGAGACCCAAAGAGCTAGCTGGCTAGCCCCTTTCACTATATGAGGACAGAGGGAGAAAGTGCCATAGATGACAGGAAGCAGGCTCTTACCAGACATTGAATCTACCAGTGCCTTAATCTTGGACTTCTCAGCCTCCAGAACCATGAGAGATAAATTTCTGTTGTTTATAAGCCACTCAGTTTCCGATATTTTGTTATGGCAACCTGAATGCACTAAGACAATGAGTGACCTTTTACAAAGGACCTGAATAATCATTATTTTCCATTTTGGTATCTGTTCCATCCCATATTCTCTAATACAAAATCTGTCCCAAAACACTAATCCTGAACCTAAGATTGCTGCAGCTACCTGCTGAAACCATCTTTCTCAGTGTACTTTTTTTTTTTTTTGAGACAGAGTCTCACTGTGTTGCCCAGGCTAGAGTGCAGTAGCGTAATCTTGTCTCCCTGCAACCTCTGCCTCCCAGGTTCAAGCGATTCTCATGCCTCAGCCTCCCAAGTAGCTGGGATTACAGGCACGCGCCACCACACTCAGCTAATTTTTGTATTTTTGGTAGAGATGGGGTTTCTCCACGTTGGCCAGGCTAGTCCTGAATTCCTGGCCTCAAGTGATCCACCCATCTCAGCCTCCCAAAGTGCTGGGATTACAGGCGTGAGCCACCACATCCAGTCCCACAGTGTCTTTTAATATATTTACATTTAATGGCCAGGCACGGTGGCTCACGCCTGTAATCCCAGCACTTTGGGAGGCCAAGGTGGGCAGATAACGAGGTCAGGAGATCGAGACCATCCTGGCCAACATGGTGAAACCCTGTCTCTACTAAAAAAAATACAAAAAAATTAGCCAGGCGTGGTGGCAGGCACCTGTAGTCCCAGCTACTCGGGAGGCTGAGGCAGGAGAATGGCGTCAACCTGGGAGGTGGAGCTTGCAGTGAGCCAAGATCATGCCACTGCACTCCAGCCTGGGTGACAGAGCGAGACTCCGTCTCAAAAAATATATATATACATATATATTTACATTTAATATATTTACATTTAACTACCAACATAGTTGGTATTTTTTTTTTTTTTTTTTTGAGACGAAGTTTTGTTCTTATCGTCCAGGCTGGAGTGCAGTGGCGCGATTTCGGCTCACTGCAGCCTCCGCCTCCTGGGTTTGAGCGATTCTCCTGGCTCAGTCTCTCAAGTAGCTGGGATTATAGGCACCCGCCACCACTTCCGGCTAACTTTTTGTATCTTTAGTAGAGGTGAGGTTTTACCATGTTGGCCAGGCTGGTCTCTAACTCCTAACCTCAGGTGATCTGCCTGCCTCTGCCTCCCAAAGTGCTGGGATTACAGGTATGAGCCACCGCACCCAGCCCCATATTTGGTATTTCTACCATACATCTGTGTTTTCTATTCGTCTCACCCTTTCAGTTTCTTAACTCTCTAATTGCCTTCTTTTGAACTTTTTTCCTTCCATTTTTTCCTTTCTATTAGCTTCCAAGTTATGCATTCTATTTTTGGACTTTTAATGATAACCCTAGACATTTCAACAAGCACACTTTACTAATCAAAATCTAAGATTTACCATCTTTTTTTCCCTTCAACAATACAGAACCTTAGTTACTGCATCCATCCATATTTTAGTTGTATTTTGTTTTTCCTAACTCCCAAGATATTATTATTATTGGTTTATGAAGTCATTGTTTATTCCGATTTTTACAGTAAATTTTTATTCATTTTCAAATCTGCTTGGTCAATTTTATGGTCGTTTATTCTTTGTTTATGTCTTCAACCTCTCGTACTGTTTATTTAAACATTTCTGTGTTTGATAACTCAGGGCATTTTCTCATGTCTAATTCTAGAAGTTTTTTTGGTTTGTTTTGTTTTGTTTTGTTTTGCTGACTCTTGCTCATCATGCTGTGCCAGTCTTTTCATTCATGACTTCTGAGTATTTGCTCATATTTCTTTGAAATTATATGTGATTATTTGTGCCTAGGTATAAAGTGGAAAGTGAGTTCCCCCAAAAAGGAGGATTTCTGGCCAGACGCGGTGGCTCACGCCTGTAATCCCAGCACTTTGGGAGGCTGAGGCGGAGGCTGAGGCGGGCAGATCACTTGAGGTCAGCAGTTTGAGAACAGCCTGACCAACATGGTGAAACCCCATCTCTACTGAAAATACAAAAATTAGCTGGGCATGGTCGTGGGTGCCTGTAGTCCCAGCTACTCAAGAGGCAGAGGCAGGAGAATCGCTTGAGCCCGGGAGGCAGAGGTTGCAGTGAACTTAGATGGAGCCACTGCGCTCCAGCCTGGGTGACAGAGCAAGACTTGGTCCCCCCCTCCCCCCCACCAAAAAAAAAAGAAAAGAAAAGAAAAAAAAGGAGGATTTCTGTTGGGTGTCTGGGAGAATTACCAACCCAAATGCACTTTAAATCTTAAATCAACTTTTTGGCTTGAGGTTTTTGTGAACACCTAAAGTATACATTTTGTCTGCAAGCCTACATAAAGTCAGGATTATGATTTGAAAAATCAGGGATTTTCCCCTGTGCCTGTTCAGTTCAGGTTTCCAGTCAATGTATTTTATTCACAGTGTAATGGAGGGCCAGGGTCAGAGACAGATTAATTCCTTATTTACTCTTACAGGTGAAACTGTCAGATGTCACCTGTCATGATGTTGGAAACAGAAATTTATGTGTTAGAATTTTACTAAAGTTTCGATTTTGGCATTAGAAAAAGCATCGTCATCTGTGGTGGTGTCTGCCCTTGTCAGTCAGTGCCTAGAGAGAATTTTGGGGATGGTAGTAACAGGACAATCCCCCATTTCTACTGAACATCCTCAGTGTCTGTTCCAAGTAGAATTCAAGTTATGCTCTCAAGGTGGAAGTTGCCTGGGGAGGACATCCTTGAGTACAGCTCAATTTTTTTTCTTTCTTTTAGAGATGAGGTCTCACTTTATCACCCAGGCTAGAGTGCTCTGGCATGATTCTAGCTCACTGCAGCCTCAAACCCTCAGGCTCAAGAGATCCTCCCCGCTCAGCTTCCCAAGTAGCTGGGACTATAGGCTCACACCATCGATCTTGGCTGTTTTTTTTTATTTTTTGTAAAGATGAGATCTCACTTTGTTGCCCAGGCTGGTCTCAGATTCCTGGGCTCAAGCGATCCTCTTGCCTCAGCCTCCCAAAGCCCCGGGATTACAGGCATCAGCCACCATGCTTAGCTACAGCTCTATTAATAGGCACAAGTTCTTCAATATTCACTGAGACCCCAGCTCTGCTGGGACCACAGGCCATTTTTCTTCCCATGTTGTGATCTTGCCCACCATGCCTCCACTTTTTCCCCATCTGCCTGGCTACTTAGTTGAAAACTCTTTCTGCTCAGCCTTTCTAGCTCCCTGTGGGAGCTTGGGCCACACCCCACCTGAAAGACTATCCTCCCTCAATGTCCCCAGTCCCAGAAATCATCTTGAACAAGTAATCTGTCCATGAGCTGCTCCCCATTCAGACCTCTGGCCAGGTTGTGGCCTCCTAACCTCAGTCCACTCAGCTGTGGCCTCCATGATCCGACCCAGACAGCCTGCTCTCTTTTCTTCTCATTTCTTCCTCCCTCTTACCCTTATCTTTCCCATGCTCCTGTTCACATGTTCTACTCCAGGGCTCTATTTTTGTGTACAAAATGTCATGATTACAGCTCTCTTTATAACAATTCCAACCCCCATTCCCCGCTTTTTTTCCCCATGAGAGGTCAGCTCCCGAGTTCACAGGCCCAAATGTGAGTGATGCATAGAAGGGACAGAGTGTTTCCTCTGAGGCCTCTACACATCCCTGTCCAGTCTTTTCATTCTCTGTGGTTTTCTCATTTCTAGTCCAAGAGGCCCAGAAGCAAACCTGGAGGTGAGACCCAAAGAAAGCTGGAACCATGCTGACTTTGTACACTGTGAGGACACAGAGTCTGTTCCTGGAAAGCCCAGTGTCAACGCAGATGAGGAAGTCGGAGGTCCCCAAATCTGCCGTGTATGTGGGGACAAGGCCACTGGCTATCACTTCAATGTCATGACATGTGAAGGATGCAAGGGCTTTTTCAGGTAGAGTTACCCATCAGCCTTCACCCACGTGCCACCACTGACCCACTGGGTAACGTCTCAGGGCCTCAGCTTGACCTGTCCCCCAGGTTCAGAGTGTGGGCTGGTGGCCCACCCAAAGGCCTTGTAATTAGTCTCAAGGGAGCCATTTATATCCCAGAGGAATCCTTCATCTTCAGTCTTCCTGTTCTACCCAGGAAAGGTCTCCTTCCATTAAGATATCCCTTGGTTTCTCCATGTGCTCTTGAATAAAATGGAAAATGACTCAGTGAAAGATAAGGAATTTGAAAATCCCAAATCCAAGTGTTCACATCCGCCTTCTGGGGTGGTTGTTACATAAAGAATGGCATAAAATAAATGCTTAGACCATGGGAAGAGAAACAGACCGAAGGGAGGGGAAGGGCGGGGAGGGGAGAAAGCCATGTGTGAGGAAGCACTCCAGGTGCACCCTCCGGAGGGCACAGGGTATGCAAGGAGCAGCTCCCATCTCGGGAGCCACATGTGGGACCCTCATGCATTCCCAAGACAGCCAGCCTGACAGCCCTTTGCAGAGTTCTTCGTGGTGGCTGGGCATTCAAATGGAAAAGGGCAGGTTCCAGGGAGAAATGAACATTCGTGTTGCATGAGTTATAACAGGGGTGAGACACATCAGCAGTGTCAGACTGGGTTCAGCTACAAGTCACAGGACACTTGTCGCCAATTGGTTTGGCAATAAGGAAAATGTGTTACCTCTCCTAACAGGAAGTCTGAAGGCCTCCAGGTTAGTGAGTTCAGCAGCTCATTTCTTTCCATTTTTCTCTTCAGCCATCCCACCTGAGAGCTCTGATTGCAGTCTGGCTCCCCTTGTGGGGGCACAGTGCTGGGGCCCCAGGCAGGAATCATTATGTTCAGCAGAAGCGCACAAAGGCCCATCTTTGAGAGTAAGGAAATCTTTCCCAGGAGTCCCCTCACATTGGCTAGAGCCGGGCCCAGCCTATGCCTGAACTAGTCACTAGCAAAGAGCAGCAGGTATGTCCCTGAGCTGGGCACACGCCACTTGACTGTGTGGAAGAGGGTGGATGTCTGCACCAGCTCCAGATGCTGCTGGCACAGAAGAGGCTGCCCAAGCAGTGTTCGTGCATCCTGCCTCAGCATGCAGGAATCTTCTGCTCTCCCTTCCTCATTTGGGTACTATTCCTGGGACTCTCAGAAAAAGGCAACATGTTGTAGTGGGCAAAAGCTAAATCCAGTATCAGGCAGACCTGGATTCAAATTTCAGCTTGTCATGTACCTGGAGGACAGCTGGGGATCCATCGTCTCCAAGCCTCAGTCTCCCTCATCTGTGCTAGGCAGATGAGATTATGAGTTTCACAGGGTTTTAGAACTAAATTTACAAAACTGCAAAATACCTAGCCTAGCATCTGATACATAGCATACCTTTAAATAATGTGAGCCCCGGTTTCATCTTTTACCCATTCTCAGTGGACTTTGATGTAGCATCAGAGTTTTCTTACCCAGGCCAGTTGGGAAGGCAAAAGGCAGGGATGGCATCTGTGAAGAACATGCCCCTGGGCTGGTCACTGGTCCGAGGCCCGAGGCCTCCAAGCTCAAACCTGCCAGGTCACTGCGGGCTTGGCTCAGCTTCCCAGGCCTGCCCTCGGGGACCTCTGCAGCCCTACCTGGCTGTTCCATGCTCCTGGGCCAGCCTTCCCTCAGTTTCCACTCTGGACCAGAATCAGAGGCCAGAGCCAAGGGAGAGATTGTTTCTTTCCATCCAGCTGTGGAGATGGGGAAAGTAAAGGTAGGACTGCACTGACCGTGTCTTTTGTGGGACAGGCAGGACTTCCGGGCTGGGAGGAGGAGATCTTGTACCAGAGTCTCCAAAAGGCATCTGCCCCATTGCCTCTCTGCGCACCGCAGAGAGGGGTGTGCGGGCCCGTGGGTCCCGCCTGCACGCTCTGCTGTTCCAGGCGCTCGACCTCTTTGCCCCCTAGGTCAACGAGGGGAATCCACTCTGCCATGGGGAAGTCGCTGCCCCGTAGGGTATAAGAACTTCCCCATAGTTCACCCCTTCCTCCCTGGCCGCCCAGTCTGGAAGGGGAGCTGGAGAAGGCGGCGGGGGGTGGGGGGAAGGCGGGGGGGAAGGCGGGGGGGTGGGGCGGGCTTCTCTGGTTTCTTACCCTCCTGGGGTCAGGTTTCCTCAGCTCCCTCCCTTAAGGAGGGGAAATCGAGGAAGAGGCCCATCTCCATGGAAACTTTCTGGTAACAAGGCTGTGAAAGAGAAGGGGACAGGTGTTTCAGGAAGAAGGGAAGGCGCTGAGGATGGGCCTGGAGAGGAAGTGTCCCTGAAAGTGGTTTTGGGGCTGCCCGCGCCAGCGAAAAGCACGTGTCCCATTTCCTGCCGGAATGGCCAGAAAAGGTCTCCTCCCCGGCTCTGCCCCCTCTAGCTGAGTCCTGGACCTCTAGGGACTCCCACCTACACCCTTCCCATAAAGCCTGACCCAGCTGGGACGCAAAGGCTAGTGTCCCCCTCCCCGAGTCGGTAGGGGCTGGGGAGGGAGGTGGTATGGCCCGGAGCCCCAGGCCGAGGGCCCGGGCACCCGTGCATCCCCCCTTCTGCTCCCCATTCTCTCACAGGAGGGCCATGAAACGCAACGCCCGGCTGAGGTGCCCCTTCCGGAAGGGCGCCTGCGAGATCACCCGGAAGACCCGGCGACAGTGCCAGGCCTGCCGCCTGCGCAAGTGCCTGGAGAGCGGCATGAAGAAGGAGAGTGAGCAGTGGGCGCGCGGGCGGGCCGGCGCCGGGGTGCACGGCTCTGAGTAAGGACGTGCCGTGGGTGTGGGCATGCTTGTGTGGAGATGCGCGCCGAGTGTGCGCGTGAACACACGTGCACATGTGAGCTGGTGTCCGTGTGCAACAGGCAGCCACCTGGGGGAGCGCTTGCAGTCGGCCCTCTGGGAGATGGAGGGAGTCGGTAATCTCTGCCCTGGGATGTGTGCTGGGCAGCCCTGGACAGGGCGTGCCCTCTGTCTCCCCTCAGTTGCTCCTGCATCATTCTTTTTGTCCCCTTCATAATTGTTGTAATGGTTTGAAACCACATTTGCGGGTAGGAGTGTGAATCTGGGGGAGGGAAGCAGGAGCCACATGGGTGATAGGACCCGGGGCCTTCTAGGTGCTAGCCCCATCAGCTGCCCCAGACCTGGATCTTTATAGGGGAACTGTTTGCAGACAGGTGACATGAGGTGTTCTCATTCTACCTATTTAACTTTGATATATTTGTGCTCCTAGGTCACTATGAGATTAAGGCTCATGCGGAAAAGGCTAGGTGTTTCTAGTGCATATTTGTCTCCATGGAACACAAAGGGACCCAAAGCTGCTTCTTTCAAGGACAAGTTCTCTAGGCTGCTGGCAGGCATTCTTGATCTCTCCCCACCAAGGACCTCATAGCTTTGTTCTACACACATGAGTGGGCTCCAGAAATCCACAGAAGACCCTAAGGCTCTGGGCTATATAAGAAGTCTCTGGAGTTGCTATTTCTTGCTAAGCTGTAGCCCAGCTCTCTAGGGTCTTGGAGACCCAGACACCTCTGAAGAGTCTTGGTATATAATTCACCAGAAAATGATAATTGTAGATGCCATTTACTGAACATCTCTTATGTACCAGGAACTATATTAGGCACCCTACATGCAAGGTCTCATTTAACAGCGGTGCGAGGTAAACACGGTTTCTCCGGATCACAAAGGAGAAACCTGGAGGCAGGAGAGGTTAAGGAGGTTGCTTGGGGTCACAGGTAGTAAGTGGCAAAGCTTTCATGCAAACCCAGCGCCTTTGGATTCTGAAGCCCGTGCTCTTGCCAGGGCCCCACAGTGTCCTCACAAACTCCACTGCAGAGGGCAAAACACCAGCCTCACCTCATCTCTGTCCTCACCCAAGTGTTTCTCCAGAAGAGCCCACAGGCCTCTTGAGTCCAGACAGGGGAGAATTGCTTGTCACCATTACTTTCTCTTTTGCCTAACGGCTTCTGCTGCCTTGAGAGGGTTACACAGTGGCTCTCCAGGGGGCTGGAGGCTCACCAGGGGCACGTGTGCCTGAGCCAGCCTCACTGTCCCTGCAGTGATCATGTCCGACGAGGCCGTGGAGGAGAGGCGGGCCTTGATCAAGCGGAAGAAAAGTGAACGGACAGGGACTCAGCCACTGGGAGTGCAGGGGCTGACAGAGGAGCAGCGGATGATGATCAGGGAGCTGATGGACGCTCAGATGAAAACCTTTGACACTACCTTCTCCCATTTCAAGAATTTCCGGGTAGGAGGAACTGCACAGTGACCCGAGGTGTCACTGCCATCTTCATTCTCACATAGAAACTGAGGTTCCCCAAGGATAAGAAACTTATACAAGGTCACAGCTAATCAGTGGTGGAGGGTAGATTTGGAGAGCTGGTCCTGCATCTGTGCTAGCTCCTCAAAGCCTTAGTCTCATTCCCAAAGGTTCTGAAAGTGTGGTCCCTGGGTCAGCAGCATCAGCATGCAGATTTTCAGGTCACCTCAGATCTCCTGAATCTGAAGCTCCAGGGAGGGGCAGGACCCCCCGGTGATTCTGTTGCAGGTTCAGGTTTGAAAAATCACTGCTCTCTCCTTTAAGGCAGGTAGGAACTGGGTCTAAGCAATAAGTGGAGGGAAAGCTAGGCAGTTCCCCAGTGTTGCTGGCATTCGGGGCTTTATGAGGACAGGATCAGGACCTGTTGGGGGTGTGACTTTTGTGAACTGGTGTTTCTTGATCCCAGCACATTAACTATGTCTGTGCTCTAAGTGCCCTCCTTCCCCTTTGCACTGATAGATATCTCAAGTGGCCCTTCACAGCCCAAATAACTGGATTAGCCCAGTGACCTCAGATCTGCTCTTCCCATCCATAGCACCCTAAACCTTCTGAGTCTCCTGAGCCCAACATCTGGAATGCTTGGGATGACACACCATGGTTGCAGTCCCCCTTACCCTCCATTTTAACCAAGCAGGGATGTGTGTGACCATTAATTCATAGATCCCCAAAGCACCTTCATCTGATAGAGAACACCAGAGAGAAGAAACAAATGCTGTGTGTGTATATGTGTGAGGACACACGCATGCATGTGGGTGTGAATGCCTGCATTTGTGCATCCTCTCGAGCTGCAACTGTGGCTGTGCATGTTTGGCTGGGGCCTGAGTTGGGACCTGTCTATGAAAGCACATGCTGTCTCTCCTCTGTCCACCTCCTGGCATGTGTCCTAGCTGCCAGGGGTGCTTAGCAGTGGCTGCGAGTTGCCAGAGTCTCTGCAGGCCCCATCGAGGGAAGAAGCTGCCAAGTGGAGCCAGGTCCGGAAAGATCTGTGCTCTTTGAAGGTCTCTCTGCAGCTGCGGGGGGAGGATGGCAGTGTCTGGAACTACAAACCCCCAGCCGACAGTGGCGGGAAAGAGATCTTCTCCCTGCTGCCCCACATGGCTGACATGTCAACCTACATGTTCAAAGGCATCATCAGCTTTGCCAAAGTCATCTCCTACTTCAGGTAGGACATGGAGACTGGGTGGTTGGGTGTGGAAAAGAACTGGAAGTGGCCAGGAGGTTCAAAGGGCCTGGGGTAGATCCTGAATTTGGGGGATATTGGTGTCAGAAGACCCTCCTTTTCCTGTGCCCTTTCCCCGGGCAGCCAGTGCTGCTGGGGAGTAGAGCCCTTGCTGTATGGCTGGTTAGTTTTGTGGCTGTGGGCCTGCCAGTGTCTCTGCCTCTTCACCTGCTCAATGGAAGCTAAAAATGCCTCCCCTGCAGGGCTGTTCTGTGAAATAAGAACACATCCGAAGAACACCCAGCACAGAGTGGGCATTCAGATAGTCTTTTGTACTCTCCCTTAAAGGGGCAGGAATCACATGTTGACAGTTCCAGAGCAAGGAATGAGAGGAATAGAAAAGATAAGGCTGTGAAGGCCATGGGGAGGGCGGGTGGTCCTCAGAGCCCAAGGGTCAGGTCTCCCCAGAGCTAGATGTGGAGGCAACAACCATCGGGCAACTGGGGTTAGTGGGAGACATGGGAACTTCCTGGGGTGGCAGGAACCACAGCCCCAGAATATGTGTGCAGTCGTAGGATTAGGGATGGTGCCAGGTGTATCTGTCCTTGGGTAGGCCACCTTGCCTTGCCAAGCCTGGTCAAGTGGGGCTGAAACACACCTGCCACAAGCTCCTGGTTTCTTCAGCAGGTTGAGGGTAGGTTATACTCTAGGAGCCCAGAGGTTCTTCTCTGGCCCTGTAGGAGTCATGCGTGACTTATTTAATGGGGTGATGCTGACAGCAGGTTTGGAATGGGGTTCAGATGGTAGCAAATAAGCTTAAAGGGGCAGGGAGAGAAGAATACTTATAAATGTGGACATTGGGAGATCTTTGGTGAAATCCAGTGACTGACAATTTAACACCAGGGCTTCCCACTTGCTATTTCTCAAGGCCACCAATGTCGAGCACAGTGACCTGAGGTGTCACTGCCATCTTCATTCTCAGATAGAAACTGAAGTTCCCCAAGGATAAGAAACTTGTACAAGGTCACAGCTAATCAGTGGTGGAGGCTAGATTTGGAAGTACCAAAGCCAGCTCGATGCCAGGTCCTAAGCTGGGCAATGGGGAGGCACAGAAGAATAAGATCAATTACATGGCATTTGTAGCTCAGTGTTAGGGATCTAAAAGAAGGATGGGCGCCAGTAGCACAGGGTCTGAATTCCCAAGGCCAAGAGGTAGTGTTTCCTCAAAACCCAGAGTAAGCAGCCTCCCTCTCAGGCTGTGAAGCTTCCTCCTTGTAAGGAATGCCTCCTTACTGGGGAGGTGGGGGCCCCTCCCAGGTTGGGAGGGAGTGATCCCTGCAGGACCGGAAGGGTATCCATGTAACCATAATCTCAGAGGCTTGTTAAGCCGCCTCCATGGTTAGGCCTGTGCTTCAGCGCTAGGAGTGGGGCTTCAGGCATCTGGGCTGCAGGGAAACAGTAGAAATACATGTGTGCACATTAAACCCAACACCGACAGCAGGAAGCAAACATCCCCACTACTGGAACTCAGGCCAAAAGGGCGGCACTTTCACTCTGGAAAGGGGAGACTGCACTCTGGAAAGACTTCTGAGAGGGGCAAAGACATAGCATGGCCTGAGGGGCTAGCAGGATATACTAAAGGGGAAGTCATTCCAAGGGGGAAACTGAGGCAGAAAGGAGGAGGCCAGGGACCAGAAGCCAAAGCACTAGCTGTAGGTCAGGATTTGTATAGGAGCTGAAGGAGATGGGGCCAGCCTGTAAGGGACCTGGATGCCAAGCTCAGTGGGTGGAGTTCCCGGAGGTTGGAGGGGAGGAGAGGATGCTGCGGGGCAGAGCTGTCTGCTGGGTTGTGAGGGGAGAGATGAGAGGCAGCCAGACAGCAGCCACAGTCATCCTCAGGGAAAGGAGCCATCCTCCCTCTTCCTCTCGCCCCCAACTTCTGGATTATGGGATGGCTGCTGGTGCCGGTCTGTGGGCTGCCTCCCAGGGAGCTGTCCTCCCCTCCCCATCCTTGCTGCCAGGGACTTGCCCATCGAGGACCAGATCTCCCTGCTGAAGGGGGCCGCTTTCGAGCTGTGTCAACTGAGATTCAACACAGTGTTCAACGCGGAGACTGGAACCTGGGAGTGTGGCCGGCTGTCCTACTGCTTGGAAGACACTGCAGGTGCCCGAGAGAGCCTGCCTGCCCTGGCAGAGGGAGGGAAACACTGCAGTTATGGGAGGAAGGGAGCTACGCCAGGATATGCAGGTTCTGGGATGGCAGGGCAGGAAGATGGAATGGTGGAAAACAAGATATTGGTGAGGGATGATTAGATCTTGGTCAGCTTGCTGAGAAGCTGCCCCTCCATCCTGTTACCATCCACAGGTGGCTTCCAGCAACTTCTACTGGAGCCCATGCTGAAATTCCACTACATGCTGAAGAAGCTGCAGCTGCATGAGGAGGAGTATGTGCTGATGCAGGCCATCTCCCTCTTCTCCCCAGGTGAGGATCTCCCCTAGGCTGCCTGACATCCCCCCCAGCCTTATCTGCCCTCCCCAGGGAAGGTCCCAGTCTATGGCCTTGCTCCTCATTCACTGCGCAGCCAGGATGGGGGCTCTCGCTGGTTTCTCCTGGGGTCAGTGGGTGATGCCCAGCCCTGGTCTTCCTTCACTTCCCTGCCTGGGTGACTCCAGCTCTGGAGGGTGGTTGGCGAGCAATGCCCTGACTCTGGGCTGGACTGAGCTTGTCTTTGCCCCATGATCTTGCACCACACCTCCCTCCCCTCCAGACCGCCCAGGTGTGCTGCAGCACCGCGTGGTGGACCAGCTGCAGGAGCAATTCGCCATTACTCTGAAGTCCTACATTGAATGCAATCGGCCCCAGCCTGCTCATAGGTGAGCACAGCAGGGGGTGAGGACCCGTGAGGGTGATGTGAGGGAGCCGAGGTTCAGGGAAATTGCCCAAGACTTCATGGCCAGAGGGTGGCATCTGGAGGTAGCCCCAGCCAGACCAGGTCCAAAGCTCACACTTTTGAGCACTACCTAACCACTTCCCAGGAAAAACACAAGCAAACAGGGGGACGTGGCCCAGAAAGGGGCTTCTATACCTTCACTGGTCCTCAGTAGCTCCTGTGACCTACTGCCCAGACTGATGCCCACAGACCCAGAGACAAACTTGGATTTTACGGAGCCCAAGGCCATGAAGGGTTAAGGCCAACACTGAGTATTATAGTGTGAACCTATAAACTGAAATCCTTATTTGGCCTGCACAGCTTTCTTTTTGGCTTGGTGTCCTGGGATGCTGGGAGTGGCCATGTCTTTATTTGCTCAACCCTTCCTTGTATGGAGGCAGGAGGCTGGAAGTGCCAACTTTCTTTTCCATCATGGGGATACTGAGGCATATGGTACATCTCAGACACTAGATCCAAAGCTAGTTCCAGGAAGGGATTCCAGCCTGCAGCCCCTAACCTCCACAACGACTCTGCTCAGTCCTGGCCCCTGGACATTAACGAAGGCAGTGACAGCCCCACACCCCCAAACTGGTAGCTGCAATATCTACATTTTCCCACGGAAGTCTCTGTGTACAAAGATGCAACTCCCGCAGCTGGGTGTCGTGGCTCACACCTATAATCCCAGCACTTTGAGAGGTCAAGACAGGAGGATCCCTTGGGGCCAGGAGTTCAAAACCAGCCTAGGCAACATAGCCAGACCCCAACTCTAGAAAAATTTTAAAAAATTAGCCAGGTATGGTGGCATGTGCTCTAGTCCTAGCTACCCAGGAGGCTGAGGCTGGAGGTCTCTTGAGTCCAGGAGTTTGACACTGCAGTGAGTCCATGATCGTGCCATCATGCTCTAGCCTGGGTGACAGAACGAGATCCTGTCCCTTTAAAGAAAAAAAAAAAAAAAAGACACAGCTCCCATGAATGGGATGGGAGTGGGGAGAGTATTGGGCAGGCTGTTCTGCCTTTCTCATCTACAGGGTAAAAGAGAAGCTTACGGAATTCAGCCAAGCCTTGTCTCTTGGCTGACCTGAAATGTCCAGAGATTATGCTTGTGCAGCCTCAGAGCAGCCCTGAGGCTTGTGGGTCAGGGCGGGCTGCACCCACAATCTTTTCTCTGGCTGGCATGCAGGTTCTTGTTCCTGAAGATCATGGCTATGCTCACCGAGCTCCGCAGCATCAATGCTCAGCACACCCAGCGGCTGCTGCGCATCCAGGACATACACCCCTTTGCTACGCCCCTCATGCAGGAGTTGTTCGGCATCACAGGTAGCTGAGCGGCTGCCCTTGGGTGACACCTCCGAGAGGCAGCCAGACCCAGAGCCCTCTGAGCCGCCACTCCCGGGCCAAGACAGATGGACACTGCCAAGAGCCGACAATGCCCTGCTGGCCTGTCTCCCTAGGGAATTCCTGCTATGACAGCTGGCTAGCATTCCTCAGGAAGGACATGGGTGCCCCCCACCCCCAGTTCAGTCTGTAGGGAGTGAAGCCACAGACTCTTACGTGGAGAGTGCACTGACCTGTAGGTCAGGACCATCAGAGAGGCAAGGTTGCCCTTTCCTTTTAAAAGGCCCTGTGGTCTGGGGAGAAATCCCTCAGATCCCACTAAAGTGTCAAGGTGTGGAAGGGACCAAGCGACCAAGGATGGGCCATCTGGGGTCTATGCCCACATACCCACGTTTGTTCGCTTCCTGAGTCTTTTCATTGCTACCTCTAATAGTCCTGTCTCCCACTTCCCACTCGTTCCCCTCCTCTTCCGAGCTGCTTTGTGGGCTCCAGGCCTGTACTCATCGGCAGGCGCATGAGTATCTGTGGGAGTCCTCTAGAGAGATGAGAAGCCAGGAGGCCTGCACCAAATGTCAGAAGCTTGGCATGACCTCATTCCGGCCACATCATTCTGTGTCTCTGCATCCATTTGAACACATTATTAAGCACCGATAATAGGTAGCCTGCTGTGGGGTATACAGCATTGACTCAGATATAGATCCTGAGCTCACAGAGTTTATAGTTAAAAAAACAAACAGAAACACAAACGATTTGGATCAAAAGGAGAAATGATAAGTGACAAAAGCAGCACAAGGAATTTCCCTGTGTGGATGCTGAGCTGTGATGGCGGGCACTGGGTACCCAAGTGAAGGTTCCCAAGGACATGAGTCTGTAGGAGCAAGGGCACAAACTGCAGCTGTGAGTGCGTGTGTGTGATTTGGTGTAGGTAGGTCTGTTTGCCACTTGATGGGGCCTGGGTTTGTTCCTGGGGCTGGAATGCTGGGTATGCTCTGTGACAAGGCTACGCTGACAATCAGTTAAACACACCGGAGAAGAACCATTTACATGCACCTTATATTTCTGTGTACACATCTATTCTCAAAGCTAAAGGGTATGAAAGTGCCTGCCTTGTTTATAGCCACTTGTGAGTAAAAATTTTTTTGCATTTTCACAAATTATACTTTATATAAGGCATTCCACACCTAAGAACTAGTTTTGGGAAATGTAGCCCTGGGTTTAATGTCAAATCAAGGCAAAAGGAATTAAATAATGTACTTTTGGCTAGAGGGGTAAACTTTTTTGGCTTTTTTCTGGGGAAAATAATGTGGGGGTGTGGAAATAGAAACATACGCAAGCATACATATTTTTACTACTTATTTTATTATTATCCTGTATAAATCTGAAGACTCCGGCGTAAGAACATAAAAATGAATTATTTAACTTGGCTTACTTATAAAATGATTGTTCTGTATAAAAGTTTAACATATGTGCATACCATAATTAAAATGTAGTCCGGGCGAGGTGGCTCAGGCCTGTAATCCCAGCACTTTGGGAGGCCAAGGCTGGCGGATCACAAGGTCAGAAGATCGAGACCATCCTGGCTAACACAGTGAAACCCCGTCTCTACTAAAAATACAAAAAATTAGCCAGGTGTGGTGCTGGGCACGTGTAGTCTCAGCTACTTGGGAGGCCGTGGCGGGAGAATCACTTGAACCAGGCAGGCGGAGGTTGCAGTGAGCTGAGATCGTGCCACTGCACTCCAGCCTGGGGGAAAGAGCGAGACTCTGTCTCAAAAAAAAAAAAAAGTAGGAATTAATTTTAAATGTCTAATATTTCATTCAAATGAAACTTCACAGTAACTGAATTTTAAAGAACAGATAATTACTTAGCTTTTGACATTTTACAAGAAGCAGGCCAAACTTTGAGAACATGGTAAATCATCAGTAATATAAATCAAAGCAAGTAAACATATTCTGTCATCCCTCTGACTTTACCAGATTTTTCTGCATTAAGGAGATATAGGGAGCACTTATTTTTAGAAAAGATACTGAGGGAAAAAAAGAGCTTCTCTTTCCAAACTCAATGAATGCAGCTTTTGCTCCCAGGAATTTTAATTATGAATCCATTTATAATTAGAAATACAAATTTCTAATTTGGAAAGATAGATTTCACTCCAGTGTATTCATAAATCATATGCATCTCCCTTTCCTTACTGAAATGATTCGAGTGCTATTTGTTCAAGAGCCTGAAACTGTTGTAAGCTGTAGGACAGGGTAAGGTGAGGTTAAGATGGAATGGAGGGCAAATTTCCATCTCCCAGTCTTGATTTAAAAACTCCAGGGTAGTTCTCCAAACATTGAATTGATATGTACATATAATTTATATAGATTATAAAAACTAAATGTATTTCAAGAGTGAAGAAAGATTCAATGTTAGATGCCCTGAAGAGTTCACATAGGGTACTTCCTTTCAGTAGGTCTGTGGATCACAAGTTTATGGGACTAGAAGCCAGATTTTAACCTTCCTACTCCAACATTTGAGTTTCTTCTTTACTCCCTTCCCTGAACTTTTGAGTAAACAGAACTAAGCATCAGTTTTTAGGCATCCTTGTGACCACTTTTTTTTTTTTTTTTTTTTTCTGGGTCAGTGAGGAGAGGATGGAGTCAGTCTCCAAAGCTCAGGGCAAAAGACCTAAGCAAGCTACTGCTACCATCTGCCCCCTCATTAGTCAGGGCCACTCAACAGCCTCTCTCTACCTAGCCCAGAACTTTGTCTAATTAAGTCTTGACATTGATGACAAATCTGTGGGAAGGGCCAGAGTGGCCACTCCCTTCTGGAGAAAGAGGATGTAAGGAGAAACATACGTATGATTATCCATGGCTTCCCAGCTCCTGACTCCTAACTTGTGGGCCTCATTATGCCATCTTCCACGGCAGCTTGTTTTTTCCTGGTAGGTTTCCCTTTATGTCCTTCAGCTCTCCTAAATCTGATGGTGGTGATGAGTGAAATATTCCTACACTTGAGAAATGTGTGACCATCCCAACACTTCTGTTTACTTCCTTTCACAAACTTCTCAATGACAGGGATCTAAAAGCTAATCTCTCCTTTCCTCACTACCTTCCTAGAACACGTTTCTAAATGACATCTACCGGCTGGGCACGGTGGCTCATGCCTGTTATCCCAGCACTTTGGGAGGCTGAGACAGGCGGATCACTTGAGGTCAGGAGTTCAAGACCAGCCTGGCCAAAAAAGTGAAACCCTGTCTCTACTAAAAATGCAAAAATTATCCGGGCGTGGTGTAGTCTCAGCTACTAAGGAGGCCGAGGCAGGAGAATCACTTGAACCCGAGAGGCGGAGGTTGCAGTGAGTCGAGGTTGCGCCACTGCACTCCAGCCTAGGCGACAGAGAAAGACTCTGTCTCAAAACAAAACAAAAAAAAACGAAATGACATCTACCATCACTGCTCTCCTGAAATATGATCCCGAAGGACTGTTTGGTCAGTACTTTTTGGAAAGACTTAGAAACTAAAAAGGCAGGGGCCGGGCGCGGAGGCTCACGCCTGTAATCCCAGCACTTTGGGAGGCTGAGGTGGGCGGATCACGAGGTCAGGAGATCGAGACCATTCTGGCTAACACGGTGAAACCCCGTCTCTACTAAAAATACAAAAAATTAGCCGGGCGTGGTGGCGGGCGCCTGTAGTCCCATCTACTCGGGAGGCTGAGGCAGGAGATGGCGTGAACCCGGGAGGCGGAGCTTGCAGTGAGCGGAGATCGCGCCACTGCACTCCAGCCTGGGCAATAGAGCGAGACTCCGTCTCAAAAAAAAAAAAAAAAAAGAAAAGAAACTAAAAAGGCAGTCTTTCAGGATTCTAAATTAAAAGGTCTTGCAGGACACTAACACAATATTTAACTCAATCCCAGAACCTATGCAAGACAGCAGCAAATCCCAAACAAATGCACTTCAGTGCCAGCAGGAGGCGCATCGCACAAGTAACTTCTGTTTCTGCTAATCCAATCCTCCCCTGCCGCCCCTACTGGTTAAATGTGTTTAACTGTTTTACCAATGTTGGAATTAGCCAACCCCACCACCACAGTAAATAAATAAGAGGACCACACTTTATCGAATATAAATTTGTTTTTATTGAAGCAGCAGTCACATGACCTTATATCTAGCCTTTAGATTAGGCCTGACAGAGTGAGCCAGCCCTAAAAAAATGATGTTTCTTTTTGCACTAAGAGACATAACATGTTTACATACATCATCCAGTATTGGAAATGAGCAGACTCAAACACAACATGTGTTGGTTACCTGGGAGGTACAGCCCCACTGTTCGTGGTGTCCATATATTTTACAGAGACCCCCAAAGACCATTACTAATAGGATGAAAGTTAAAAGAAAATACAGCCACACCAAATCATGAACACAGTAATCAAAGACAGCAGCTTATACACATTTAAAAACTGTCCCTTTCAGAGTTGTTTTCTTTCTTTTCTAAGCAGTGTCTGCAAAGCTTCCTCTACATCAAATCCAAAGGTTTCCAAGGTGGAAGCTGCACCTCTTGGGGCTACACAATGGAATAAAATCATTGGAAAGAACAAGAAGTGGTATTGATATCTTGTTCTGTATAACAAAGATTAATGTTTCCCTAATTAGAGGAATGGAAATGGTGATGTGACTACATATTGCAGCGGCAAAATAGTAGGGTGAAGGAAGAGGGTTGGGTACTGAAATAAAGACCACACACTTGTGAATTTTAATTTCATTTCCAGGCTAACCTACTTTTTATTTAATGCAAATTACAGTACCAGTTAACTATTTCCAAACCAAGTCACATAGAACAAAATGTATTTACAAGGGAATGGGGAAAGGGAAAAAAAACATTGAGCATACTTTTCACAAAAAAGTTTATATTTAAAATGAAAAAAAAATCAGTCACAGAGGCATTCAAGTAGTAATAATGTTATACAGATTTTGCTTTTCCTTTATATCAAGACAGATTTGCACAAGTGTTTGCAATAGTTTGTATACAACCCACAGTCCTTTATATATATATATATATATATATAATAAATTTTGTTTTTTAGGTTTGTTTTTAAGATGGAAGTGGTCACGCTAATTGGTATGTGTACAGGCCCAAGTGATCCATCGGCAACACATTTATAAATGCAAATTTTACAGGCAAGCAGATTTTCATACAACTATCTGTATCTGCCTGTAGACAGATATAGTTAAGGAAAAAAAAACTTAAAAATTAACACAAGGAAGTCTACTTTGTCAAGCTAACCCCTTATGTACTGGTTGTCATTTTGCTTTTATTGCAGAGGTGCAAAACGGAGCAACAAACTTGAATAAAACGGCATAACCCTTGTGAAAATAATCCAAACCCCAGGGATTACTTTCAAAGCCTCTCAAAGGTAGATCTCAGTCTGGGACTCTACTGTGCTTCTAGTTGTCTCTTTTATTTTCAGTGGCTCAGGTTTCTACCAGAAAAGACAGATTTTATTGTAAAGCATACCTACTTTTCCACACAGGGGAGAAAAGTGTTTGGCTCTGTGATTAGATGATCACTAACATGAACAGTAGGAATCAGATACAATTTCAGTTGAAAAGAAAGAAAACCCCCCAAATTCCTGGGGATCTGGCATTGGCCAAACTTCCTTTGGAAGATTCCAAAGTTAAATCCTTTAAAAAGGAAAGGGAAAAATAGATGAAATGCCAGTGTCTTCATATCCACAGGGATAGAGAATACTCCTCTCAGAAACCTTTGCATTGGTGCAGACAAGATGACTGGTTAGGCATACATTGTTAAAACATAAACCAAAAATGTGTCTAAAAATTAAGAGGACTTAAAAAAAATGACACAGCATGTCACTGGAAAGAAGGTGCAGTCTTCTGCCTTGCTGGAATGAACACACGATGTTTCAAAAATAGTAACCTTTGGTTTGGTAGTTTTTTCTTCTATTCAAGACATTTTATATGGACTACTTTGAGGCAAAACATTCTATTTTTCTTTCAAAAAAGGCCTTCGTGTTGGGCACACAGTAAGAATTAAACTGATTTTTTTTAAAAGAAATTAAAATGATATTTCATTGAGCAAGGGTAGAGATGGCGGGAGGGAGGAAATGGGCTAAGAGTTCCCTTGTTAAAACAACAGTCCTCTATTGGCACGGTGGCACTCCGTGCAGTAACTGCTAGTAATTGCACTATAGCATTTTAGACCACTGACGTATCAAAACCTGATACTATTAAGAAACTTCGATTTATAAAAAAACAATTCTCTGTCACTCTCTCATTTGGGAGGGAAGTAGATAAAAGAGGAGAGAGAGAGAGCATGGAAGGCTCCCAGAATCTGCTGTTTTTAAGACCCATGGTTAGGGCTTGTGGAAGAGACGAGCAAAATTTAATCTATTCGATATCCTCCAGCTCTAGGGCTCCCTGGTGCTACACTAAGTCCCTGAATGGACTAAGTATGAAATGAAACCGGTCTCACTGCTACCGAGGAGGAAAGACATTCAGAACCAAAACAAAGGCAGGGCTTCAACGAAATGAAATTACGAATATGATTTCCTCTTCCCACTCCTGAGTATGGTATCACTGAAACTTAACTGTGGAAGGGGCAAAGATACTGTTATGAGTGAGTTATTATTTCAAAGGGAAAGGGGGTGGACAGGGAGACATGGATAAAGGAAACCAATTAAAATTTAAAAAAGAACAAATTAAAAAAAAAAACACATGGAAGCGAAGGCACTCCAAACTATATAGATACACTATACATTGCTAGAGTTATTGTTACAATAATACAGGCCGGTACCTACTGTACAGAGTTAAAACTATATGGCTTTAAAAAGCTCGTCTACATTTTGTCTGATTATTAAACAGAATCACTGCCCTGAACAGTAACTTTTTGCTCATTAATAACAGTTCCTGGGTCCACATATTTACATACAAAACAATAAAACTTAAATTTAAAAACACAGAAAGAAAATATAATGTACAAGCTTGAATTTGGTGAGGAGCTTTTTATTATTATTATATACAAAAAGATATTCAGAGACCTGGATCTCACTTGTATAAAAGAGTTCTGTGATCCCACCATGATCCTTGAGAAAGAAAAATCACACATCTCAGCACACACACACACACACACACACGCACACATGCACACACAATGAAATGAGAGAAAAGCGTGACTTTTCTCTCTTCTTTTACCCCAGTTGTGGGGGGCAACCTGTTTCCTAAAATAAGCACTGATTTTTATGGACTCTGGGGAGTATACCACGTCCAGAGCAGTGTCTGCATCCAAACGCTTGCTGGGCAGTTGGATCTGAATGCAGGTCCATTTCTCTATCACAGACCTGCCTTTTCAGATTCTTTATAAATTCTGTCTGAAAATGGTCTATCAACGCCACTACCTTTAAGGAGTTATGCTGCCAAATACTTTGATTTCAGACTTCTTTCAAATCTTAGCTTTCAGAAGCACTTTATAAAACATAAAATTCAATTTGTTTGATTTGGTTTGACTGAGCATGTTTCCTTTCTCATAAACTCTGATATATCCAGAGGTTTGTGAAACCCCTTTTGTGGCCCAAGACCTCAGCTAAACAGCGAGTGAAAACCAAGATGGCTCACAGTTGTCTTTCTGGGTACTGGTTCACTTCAGCAGGCAGGACAACTCTCTTGGAGAGTCACACACACAGTTAAGGAGCAGGACAGGGTGCTAGGGCCTGCAGGAGGGCTGCCAACAGACTCCACTTCCGAACCCTCTGGAGGACGAGACCCATAAAGTGACCTAAGGTGGCAATGAGGAGGGTGAGGGCAAGTTACACACAACCATGGGCTCAGCTCTGCAGCCCTACAGTTACCAGCTAACCTTGGAAGGCATGTGGGGAAGGAGCGGGTAGGAGGGAAAGGCGGCCATCACTCAAGTGATCTTTAAATGTAAAGTACAACTGATTGTGCCTTAAAGATTCATAGGTCAAGTAATGGCCCATAAGCACCAAGGTGACTAAAGTTCATTTTAGAGTATATAAGGCCCACATAGATGCCAACCTTAAAAGTATAAAACAAACTAGTCATGAAAATCTATTTCCTCACGGCAAACATAGTCCTTCAATTCTCCTTGCTTTCCAAGGAATATTGCTTTTTCTTCAAAAAGAGAGACTGATTCTTAACATCGTTCACTGATACACAAAGAAAACAGACACAAAAACTCTTAACTGGGTGTGGGGGAAACATTCTTCTCATGCTTCAACCAGTCAATTTTGATACTGTAGACAAAAAAAAAGGCAGTATTGAATATATGTATATATAACATATATACACACATTTATATCATCAGCTTTCCTATAAAGTCAGCAGGTATAAGTGACTGTATCATTCTGATGTGTAGTTTTTAATATTTCTACCATCTGACATGCATCAATAAATAAATGTAAAAAGCATGAGGTTAAAAAACAAATTAAATACAGATTCTAGATTTGGATTTAAAATTAGAACTATGTGTAGAATGTGGCTATTTCTGCAAGCTCAATTTTCAATTAAAAAATATGAAAAATAAACCAGTAGATGACTGTTACAGTTCACATTATTTAACTACAATGTCCTCTCAAGTGTATCTTTCCAAGGGAAGTAACTTTAGAAAAAAATCTGGACAAACTTATTCACAGTGGTGAGATGTATCCCTGACCTGTCCCCTTCCTCTGGGCTCATCAGCCTTTGACCTCAGCAGCTAGCTCAGCCTGCTCAACACCCCTTCCATCTCCTCCCAGGTCACTAGTTTGAAACTGTGCTAAGATTTGCAAAGAACTTTGGTCAGGCAAACAAAGAGCCACCTGTAGAGCATGTGTGCCTGAGTCTTGCTTGCTGCTTCCCCTCTGGCAGCCTCCTGTACAAGCCTCTACATCACTAGCACTAACTGAGAGCAAAACAAAACCTTAACAAATCTACTAAGAATCTTCCCTGTAGAGTTCCAAACTTTATTGACCTCCCTGGGTTACGAATGATACACATTTCTTTGTCTGCCACACCTGCCACCAACATGCCAAAGGCAAGTCTATAAATACCCGAAGATATGGATTAATTTTACAAGTGACATTTAAGTCCCCGTTGAGTTATACCTGCTAAGCTCCCAACCAATTTCAAGCTGTGCACTATACCAAAGTCTCACACTAGACTTTAAAAGAAAACAAAGTTCAAAAAAACCCATCAGCACAGAAAAAGGTTTTCTTCTTTTGTGGAAGGGGCATGAGGCAGGAGTCCTGTTTTTAAAGTATACAACAGCAGACTTTTAATAAAAAAAGATTGTCGTGGGAGAGAGATTGTATGTTCTAGTGCTCCGCTTTCCCCCTCCCCACAACCCCTCCCACCCCCTGGATCTCCCTCAAAGTGAGAATACAATGAAATTGGTTTGTATTTATAGATATTTTACAAGGTTAAATAAGAACAACAATAATAATAAAAAAATTGAACACTAAAATGAACAGGATTTTTTTCTCTTTTTAATATTCTTTCCAAACGTGACCAGTGTTGCTGAGTGACACTCAAGTAACTGGTGGTTTTTCCTGTGCAGCTGGCTGCTCGGGACTGTTCAGGTGGAGTTGGAAGCTGATGCAGAAGCAGCATTATTGGTCTGTCCACGGTCTCCAGTATTAGCATCTGCAAGTCAAAAAGTCCCAAGAGAGAGCATGAGCAATGCTATAACAACAAAAGAGAACAAGTACACTGTTTCAACTGCAGGCTGTGAACTGTATGGCCTTCCAAGCTGTTATTTGGAACGTTGTTTTAAATAAGGCCAACACTATGAAATCTGAATTTCTCTATTCTTGGATTTAAGTTCATGCCTCAGCATGGTCCTGGTACCGGGAAGACAGTGTCTTTGAATAAGTTGCAGACTCAGGGAGCCAGAGACCATTTCAGTCAAAGCTCTTGCTACAGCTGGGATCAGCTGTATATGAACACTCAGCTGGAGTCTAGTTCACTTGAAAATAAATGAACAGTGCACAGCTGGGAAAACTTGCTAAAAATTTGAACCATGTTACAATATGCCATCTGCTTAAGTAAGTAAATAGGTGGAGGCAATGAAAGTAACGTGGGTCAGTGTTGATGGGCAGAACAGACCCTCTTCATTATTCATAGAGATGGAAGACAGACAACCAGCAAAAAAGAAACAGCAACTGCAGTACCAATTCACTTAGTCAATTTAATAAAGCATCTTGTATCAACAGATGAATGGATAAAAGAAAATGTGGTATATATACACAATGGGGTAATATGTAGCCATAAGAGAGAAAGATGGGAGGCTAAGTGGGAGGACTGCTTGAGCCAGAGAGGTTGAGGCTGCAAGTGAGCCAAGACCACCTGGGAGACACAGTAAGATACCGTCTTTAAAAAAAAAAAAAAAAAAAAAAAAGAGAGAGAGAGAGAAGAAAGAAAAGAGAAAAGAAAAAGAAAAAGAATGAGATCCTGCCATTTGCAACAACATGGATGGAACTGAAGTCATTATGTGAAGTGAAATAAGCCAGACAGAGAAAGACAAACTTTGCATGTTCTCACTTATTTGTAGGAGCTAAAATTTAAAACAACTGAACTCACGGAGTTAGAGAGAAGGATTGTTACCAGAGGTTGGGAAGGGTAGCGGGGGTGGGGGAAGTGGGGATGGTTAATGGGTACAAAAAAAAAAATGTATAAGACCTAGTATTTGCTAGCAAAACAGGGTGACTACAGTACAAAAATAATTTAATTGTACATTTTAAAATAACAAAGTATGACTGGATTGTTTGTAACATAAAGGATAAATGCTTGAGGTGATGAATATCCCATTTACCCTGATATGATTATTACACATTCCATGTCTATATCAAAATATCTCAGGTAACCCATAAATATATACACCTACTATGTCCCCACAAAAATTAAAAATTAAGAAAAGGAAAGCATCTTGTAGTCAAATCTTGACGTAGAACTTACTTAGAGCTTACTTTGCCCTAATCTTTTAGAAATACGTACAACTCTACAACTAACCATTATCTCCTCCCCCCTTTTAAGGTCTATTATTATTTCACAGCATCCATTAACATTTAAGTGGGCATCTAACTGTGTCCAAATTGGTTTAGTAGACTGCTGTTTTAGTGGCTATCAAGTTGCATCCTTGTCATCTCTCTTAATGACAGAGAAGGTACTGCTGGCCAAATTTTCTCCCAAAGATTTCACACTAAGCCCTGAGCAAGAGAGGTAGCTTGACTGGGATGGGCAACTTTGAAAAGCCATCTCTCTAGAAGCCACAATGCCATCAAGGTTGGTGACACCGAAAGGCAGACTCAGAAGTTTTTTTCTCTCTAGGACTGAAGGGATTTGTAGATCTACCATGTGCTATGGTGAGTAGAATAACCAATGTCATGGTTGAATGCAACGTTTGGTCCTGGATCTTTCTACTTTGAATTTCTGAATTAGAGGGAGACACAGAATATCCAAGGACACATAGGGAACTCTATGATGGATTAGCTGTTCAGTTTATCATTTCTAAAGCCAATCTATAAAAATTATACTTCCTAATTTCCCGATAAGCTGCCCTTATATACATTTAGCACAGCCTTTGGGGAAGGAATGTGAATATCTCTTAATGTGAATGATTAGGTTTAATTCATTTAATTTCCTTCAAAATAGCTAAAGCTGCTTCTAATCTTGTTGTCATGTACACAAGTGAAGATATTATGGCATCAGAATCCACACATTAGGTTCATATAGCCCATGTAATGGGGTCATATTAATTCATCAGTATGGCAAATGAACAGGTGGCAGGAAAGGGTATATGACACAGAACCTACTCTCCAAAGCCAGGCTGACCACCTTTTCTAACAATCACTGAGGAACTATGCTAACACTTCATTCGTGACTCCTGACCTTCCTTAGATATGCCCTGTTTAAAGAAGTTTTACCCTTAATGATCATCCACATTCTGTGCATCAATAACCTAACATCAATTCCTGTCTAGACCACAGATTCCTCCAAGCCTTTCTCAGATAAAATGTTCATTTTCATGATTCATGCACAGGCTGCATTAAAAAAAAAATCCAGAGAAAACCTGGAACACCACAAACCCATGCTTATTGCAGCATGTCACATGCTCTGATGACACTCAGAACCTATGCATGACCATCATCCAACAGCATTTCCTTCTCATTTTCAGTATGGGAAGATAACAGGTAGAACTGTCATTCTGGTCTTCCCCAGGACTTATGGGAGGCACTGATCATCAGAAATTTATCTATCTGTTTGACCACTACATCAGCACCCATGCCAACATGGAGAGAGCAGCTCTGGCCACGGCAGCCATTAACTACACTGGCTGACATCAGTTTTACCTCATCTACATGGCCACCAGCCCATTTATGTTAATTTGCTCTTTAGCAAAATCCTATTTGGCATTAATGTGCAGATGTCCTTTCACTGACTACAGCCTGTGAGCTTGTGACATTGCCAAAACCAGTCTCCTCTTTCTTGGATAAATTCAACGACTGCTTGCATGATCACAGTAAAAAGCACAAGCCTTTTAAGTGAGCATAAAACCAGAAACAAATTCACTTTCTGAACAATAAAATTTGATAGACACCCATGCTCTTCAGACCTGTAATGATCTCATATTTTTCTCTTGAATTATTTTCAAATCACTTAATGAACATAATTTTAACGCTAATTATTTTGATTATAAATATCTTTGATATCGAAAGTCACAGTCCTACAGACATTCATCAAAAAAACTTTTGCCTGATGCAATGAGCTCCACTTAAAATCAAATCACACATGTCCTTGCTGAGAAGAACAGAGTTCTCTTTTTCAGAGGAAGACAAAGTACAGAGAGGGAAAAAGTAAAACAAAAAAAGGCAAAGTTCTATAAATTCAATACTCAATAGTAGGTTTAAAAGACCACCCAGCTTACTGACTGAGTAAAGTTACATTTCATAATCTCTACAATCCCATCATAAAGATGGACTGGCCCCTGGGCCAGGTAAAGTAGGAGGAGCTGACCTCTTGGTGGCTGGGAAGAAACTAGTTCAAGATCAGGAAACAAGACAACACAGATTACCACCTTTTTAGAAATAACTCAAGAAACAAATCTTGGCACATGCTTATTTTGTTCCCACCATCACTCTGTAAATTTATTTTACACAATGGAATCTGAATTAATGAGCTTTCTATTAAAATGTTTATTAATTTAAAATTCCGATAAATTGTCATTGGATTTAGTTTAGTGTAATTTCTGTAACTTTTCTTCTCAAACATTTAAATAGTGACTCCACAACATAAAAACAGCAAAGTTCATTTTACTTCTCCTTACATTCCCTTCCCGTTACATATGCACTGGTAAAGTGACGCTAAATGGCATTATGGTTTAAAAGAGAGGCTAAGATCATTTTCATTATAAATGATCTGACTATGGATCATTAACCCACTCTAGTCTCTTGTTTTCAACCAGAGATGCTCTTCTGAACTTCACACTGATACATCTTTCTTAAAACTAAACCAACTCTATAAACATTTATTGAGTATGAAGCCTACTTGTACAACTTAATAGCTGTGTGATTTTGGAACACGTTATTTAATCTATCTCTCATTTCCTCATTGGTAAAATGGTAGTAATACCACCCACCTATGAAATGAGGCCTATGAAGTGCTTAGCACAGTATCTGGCATACAGCAATTGTTCAATAGATGGGAAGGTAAAAGAGACATCTAAAAATACATATATTTATAATCTAGTGTGACTGCAATAACCAACATCATCACCAAAGTAAATACTAGTGACAGCATACTGCTTACCAATATGCCAGACACCACACTAAGTATTTTGCAGTCATGTCATTTAGCTCACACAGCAAATCTGAGAAATAGGTACAACTGTTACCTCTGTTTTGCAAATAGGAGAAAGGAAGCACAAATAGATTAAGGAATGTGCCCAAGACCATATAGCTAACAAGTAGGGGAGTGGAACACAGAGCACAAGGGAGGAGAATAATCCATCTTATGGGCAGTAGGTGGCAGCAGAAAAGATTTCCTAGCAAAAGAAGAAAAGAGATTAAGATGACTTTCATTTAGAACTAACCTCAATAAAATCACTGTGATTTCTACAGGCACATTTCTATTATCTGTAAGAGACTTTACATTAAAAGAGAAGAGTGGGCCGGGCGCGGTGGCTCATGACTGTAATCCCAGCACTTTGGGAGGCCGAGGTGGGCGGATCACAAAGTCAGGAGATAGAGACCATCCTGGCTAACACGGTGAAACCCTGACTCTACTAAAAATACCAAAAATTAGCTGGGCATAGTGGCGGGCGCCTGTAGTCCCAGCTATTCGGGAGGCTGAGGCAGGAGAATGGCGTGAACCTGGGAGGCAGAGGTTGCAATGAGCCGAAATCATGCCACTGCACTCCAGCCTGGGCAACAGAGCGAGACTCCGTCTCAAAAAAAAAAAAAAATAAGAGAAGAGTGAGTTTATGATAAGAAAAATTAAGATTAAGAGCACAGTTACTTTATTTTCAGTATGGGGTGTACAGAGATATAAGTGCTCTGCAAACAACTACAGAACTGACATTTCACTGACTTTGAAGCTTCCTATAAACCAATGCCCATTATCACCTGTCTAATGCTACTATGGAAAAACAAGTAAACAAAAAAATGCCCCCAAACCAAGGATGGACTTAAGAGGAAATAGAACAATCAGCTTTGTGGGGAAGGAAAGGAAGGTACAAAATCATCCCTACACACTGTGGTAGCTACTTTCCAAGATGACCCCAATGATTCATGCCTCTTGGTATCCATGCCTAATGCAGTCCATTCCCACACTGAATAGGACTGACCTGTGTAACTAATAGGATATTCCAGAAATAATGGTGTGTGACTTCCAAGGCTAGGACATAAAAGATACTGTGGCTTCTGCATTGCCTTCTTTCTTGAATTACTTAGTCTAGGGGAAGCCAGCTGCAATGATGTGAGATACTTAAGTAGCACTATGGAGAGGGCCACTTATTGAGTGACTGAGGCTTCCTGCATACAGGCAGCACATATTTGATAACCACATGAATGAGAGCCACTGTGGAAGCAGAGCTTCTGCCTCCAGGCAAGTCATCAGACGACTGCATCCCTGGCTAATGTTTTGACTATGTCATGAGACTCTGACCCAGAACCACCTAGCTAAGCTGCTTCTAAATTCCTGACCCATAGAAACTATGTGAGATAATGTTTACTCTTGTTTTAAATAGCTAAATGTTGGGGGGGTAAACTAATATGCAGAAATAGATAACACACATGTATATGTCGAAGAACTTAAATGCCATTTAGGGGTTGCACTCACAAGCCAATGAGGGAATCGCTGACAAAATCTCCCTACACAATTAGGTGTGCTTCTAAGAAACTGTACAAGACAAAAAAGGATTATATTAGATTTAATTCTTTTTTCCAGAATTGTTTTCTCAGGAATCAATTGTTTTCTGAAAAGTCTATGGCTCTATGGCTTTGTACCAGATGCTGCAAAGCAAATTGGCACATGTATTAAAACCAATTTTATTCTGTGTGACATAAGAGGTAAAACACAACTTAGGCAGTCCCACAGTGAAACCAAGGGTAGAACCCTTAAGTATCAGGTTCCCAAAAGAGTCCATGAGGCTGTGATTTTTGTCCTGGAGTAAATTTTCATATGTAAAATTCTATATCTGGTATCATAATTTCTTTTTATAGGACAGGATCTACAGCATTTTTTGTTTTGTTTGTTTGTTTTTTTCAGATTCTCAAGAGATCTGTAAGAGTTGGCTAGATAATGGAGTCATGGATTAATGGTCAACTGTCTCAATACTGAGGAAACTGCCCCACCCAAATGTTCAAGTCATAAACGCAGAATTTCTTGCCTTGATTCCTTGCTGTCTGCATCCCCCCACCCCCCGCCCACAAATGGTCCTGTCCATACTCCCTGTCCCAAATGTGGTTGATCAAAGGTGCAAATGAGGAACAGGAAGGAGAGTGAATGGAAGGTCTCCATTTACACCTACTGCCAAAGGATTTAAATAAAAAGAGAGTAGAAAACAAGGAAATGGGTTGGGAGGAGAAGACAGAAAATAAACATAGGAGACAGGGTTCCAAAGGCCCTGCCACCATGAATTAGTATTCTAGATCTGTGTGTCTATAAAAAATTAAATTCTTCTGATTTATTGAAATGCTCACTATCTGGCCCAGCAGCAACCACAGAAATGTTCTATTTATATTCTCTAATATAGTAGCTGCTAACTACATAAGGCTATTTATTTAAAGTAATTGACGTTAAAGATTAAAATTCAGTTCCTTATTTGCTCTCAACACATTTCAAGTTCTCAGCTACAAAATTATTAAACATTTTACTATTTATATTGTTGGCATATTAGTAAAATAACATATTTTAGACAAATCAAATGAGCCTTTTTGTGTTTTACATGCACTTTATAAGTACACTTGGAAACATTAGGTTGTTTTTTTTTTTTTTTTTTTTTTTTAGACAGGGTCTCACTCTGTCACCTAGGCTGGAGTGCAGTGGCGCAATCTCAGCTCACTGCAACCTCTGCTTCCTGGGTTCAAGGGATTCTCCTGGCTTCCCGAGTAGCTGGGATTAAACAGGCACGCACCACCATGCCTGGCTAAATTTTTTTTTGTATTTTTAGTAGAGATGGGGTTTCGCCATGTTGGCCAGGCTGGTCTCGAACTCCTGGCTTCAAGTAATCTGACCGCCTCCACCTCCCAAAGTGCTGGGATTGTAGGTGTGAGTCACTGCACCCCGCCAGGTATATTTTTATTCCCGTATTTCCTTTACTACGCTCTTGCCCAATAACAATCTCTTCCAAGCACATTTTACGTGTTTCTACTTATCAGGTATCCTCTTTCTATAATAGTTAGAAATGTCTTATGACAGGTCAATCTCTCTAGAAGATAAAATTAACAGCCTGGGAGATATTATTTATACTGTGTACCTAACTCAGGATGTTCCTACTCAAGCTGTTCCAAGTGGAAATGCTTCTACTGTAAAACTATGTCTTAGATATTAATGTTATTAACTGGCACATTAACAAACAAGATAATTACTCACAGAGAATCAAAGTATACCCTAAACTTATATTTAATTTGAAATTATAATTTACACTCATGAAATCAAAGTACACCTGCAAGGAAAAGATGTGGCACAGAACACTAAGGTAGCCTTCAGTGATTATAAAAATAGCAGTAAAATTCGGATGCCTGTGAGCCAACCCCATCCACCAGGATACCTGGAAGACCTGTCAATAAGACTGTTTATATTTGATCTGCTGGCAGCTGAGAGGTCTCAGTTCCCTGTGAGCTCAGGGAAAGGGCACATTGTATTTAAGAAGTTTGGCTGTTCAGGGTAGAAAACTGAAGGTCATGGGGACACACAGGTAACATTTTCACTGTTCCTTTAAGTTAAAATGCTTAATTTAGGAATAAAGAAAAAAAAGGACATATAAATAAAAGTAGGTGACTTCAGGCAAGGAACTGAGGAACACTTCAGGGACACACGGAAAAATGTCTGATAGGGAATTCCAACTTAATCCAGATTTTAAATTACTTTTAGAGGAGGGGAAAAACCGAGATAAAATTTTTGACTTGATAGGAGAGAACATGTTTTGCACAGAAAGCAAGAACTTCTAGAAGTGATGTCTAGGACTGCTCTGGTGAGAATAATGACTAAGCTGGTTTGATTTTAGGTATCTATATACAAACTCACAAAGTGAACCTGAAACCCTAACATGGGGTAGATACAATCTCATTGGTGTCAGTGAATTTGTCAAAATGGTATAGTTCAAAATGGAAGTCTGTATTTCAAATGCAGAGCCAACAGGAGGAAATGGATGCAACACTGTACCTAAAAAAGATGCACATATTAATTGGCTACCAAGTTGGTAACACCTAAAAATGTGTATGTGCACACATGCACACTGTACTTCCCCTACTCCCACTCTATGAGGACATGGGGCAATGGGGAAATAGAAAAGTACTTGTACTGACAGTGGGGAGTATGAACTGACAGCGGGACAAACTTTCAGAAAGCAATTTGACATTAAACTTTAAAATTCTTTATACTTTTTGACTCTACTTCTAAAAATTTAGAAGAATAAGTACAGCTTTATGCAAAGATATCTTCAAAGCATTTTTCAGAACAACAAAAACAAAAAACCCCATCTTCGACACAAACCAAAAGTCCAAGAATAAGAAATTAACTATGGTATAGCCTTAGGATATTGGTTGAATACTACAGTCTATACCTTCACCCTCTAAATAGCCTAAGCCCATTTTTTAAAAAACATGTCTCTCTGCCCATTCATATATAGACTAAAACATAATGTTATGTGTGATTATCTTTGAAAGTAGAATAGAGGCAATTTTTACTTCCTAAAATAACTATACACTATATGTTCTTGATAGACAAAAATGCCTGCTTTTTTGTTTTTTTTTAAAAAGTTGCAGACTTTTATGAAATTTAAAATCTATTTGGGTTAAGATAAAGAGAAAACAGGAAGAACAAGTTTACAAAGAGGAACAACAGGGCATGCACTGCAGCTTCTACACTAGACAGAATATGAACACAGCTTTCCCAATGTACACTGTAAAACTGGCCCAAAGACCAGGAATAATATTAGTAGTACCTGGGGAAAGGATGAGGGAGGGTAACTGTCATTTTAGAAAAGCAAGCATCTAATAAACTGACAATTTGCTTAACATTTCACCTCTCAAAAACAGTAGAAACAAACAATGAGAGAAATTATTCTGTGTTTAATTCTGCCCAACTAAAAAGAATTGGCTGGTATGTAGGTAACAGGAATTCTGGGGTGAAAATAATTGTAATTGTAAGACAAAGGGGCCACTAGCCATAGCAAAATCTGAACGAGACTATAGCCAAATGAATTTTTAGAAGTTTGAAGAACAAATAGGTATGATTTTGTGGCTAAAGTCTTCAAAGGAGGCTAATAACTAACAAGAAATAGAAAAGCATAAACAAAATTTTGATCAAGTAATTGCAAATAATCTCAATGCAAATAAAGTAACAGTAAGAGCTTTTCAAACCAAGATGAAGACAAGTTAAGCCTGCAGACCACGTAAAATGACAGACCTCATCCAAATGTTATCATGACTCCCCCTTCTGTTAGAAGGGTTTTCAACTTGAAAAGATATAATAAAAATCCTAATAAATAAAATGTGCCCCAAGGAAGGTGAGGGCAATCAAAAATTTTAAATGTCTTTAAACTCACAATCTATAGTCCAAGAAACAAATCTAAAACGGATTACAGAAACTCACAGCTTACAGATATTTAGGCACTAGAAATTTCCCCGTCTTAAAAACAACGGTTTGATTTCCATCTTTGATATGGTTACTTTTTTTTTAATGGAAAAAGGCTGAAAGTTTTCTTAAAACAATGAAGCATTTTACAAAGTGCTTTTTATAACCTCCTCCTATAAATGGGCATTTTAAAGGTTGGTCTGTAGTTAAGCAAACAAGAGGAATGACCAGTCACGAAGAGGAATGACCAATCACTAAGAGACCACCAGAAGAGTAATCTCTAGGAAACCCAGCCCAGTTCCAATGAATTTATCAGTAACTTGAATAAAGGCAAAACATTTCTAGTAGGCTCTGCCTTGTCCTCTTTGATATGTTTTATTAGTTGCTTGGATGGAGGTAAAAAACTGACATGTTTGTGAAATGTACAGATGACATACAATTGGGTAGAAAATCCAATACCCTAATACTTTAGAACAAATCCAGGATTAGGATTTAAAGCTGTCATTAGTATGGAGGGCAAGTTAGCTATCATTAACATTTGAAGGACTTTTACATGGAAGGATCTGGATGGTTCTGTTATAATTTCATAGTAGAATCACTGACTGGAAGAAGGCATACAGAAATAAATTTCAGGGTGAAAAAAGGATAAACTTTTCTTTCTTTTTTTGAGAGCAGTCTTGCTCTGTTGCCCATGCTGGAGTGCAGTGGCGTGATCTCGGCTTACTGCAAGCTCCGCCTCCCGGGTTCACGCCATTCTCCTGCCTCAGCCTCCCGAATAGCTGGGACTATAGGCACCCGCTACTACGCCCGGCTAATTTTTTTTTTTTTTTTTGTATATTTAGTAGAGACGGGGTTTCACCATGTTGGCCAGGATGGTCTCGATCTCTTGACCTCGTGATCCACCCGCCTCGGCCTCCCAAAGTGCTGGGACTACAGGCGTGAGCCACCACACCTGGCCAAACTTTTCTAATAGAGTGATGCAAAGATAAAAATGTGCTCATTCTTGCAATAATGTCTATTACTGAATATACATAACCATGGGATAGATGACCACTTCTCGGTAGATAATGAAAGGTGAACTGAAATCCATGGTTTTTAACAGCAGAACCATTGCATTGAAAGAAACTTTATGCTGATGACCAATATACCAAACAGATAAAACCAGAAAACTGCTCTAGTTGAAATTCCCTACAACATCTCACATTCAACTCATCTGAGCAGATGCTCTCTAAAATGGTTTGTATTTGATTAGGAAAATGATAATGTCTTGAGATTTATTACTTTAGATGTTCCAGATGAATGGTCTCCTAAATGGAGTGAATGAGATGACTGGGTGTACAAAGAAAATAAGACATATATAATATATATTTATATTTTATATATAAATATATATTTTATATATATAAATGTTGAACATTTCCTACGTTGACCATTCACATATATATATATATATATATATATATATTTCAGTCGACATAAGAAATTATACTATGAATTTTGGCTGGCCACAGTGGCTCACACCTGTAATCCCAGCACTTTGGGAGGCCAAGGCAGGCAGATCACTTGAGGCCAGGAGTTCGAGACCAGCCTGGCCAACAAAGTGAAACCCCGTCTGTACTAAAATTGCAAAAAATTAGCAGGGTATGGTAGTGCGCGCCTGTAATCCGAGCTACTTGGAAGGCTGAGGCATGAGAATCACTTGAACCCAGGAGTTGGAGGTTACATGAGCTGAGATCACACACTGTACTCCAGTCTGGGCAACAGTAAGACTCTGTCTCAAAAAAAGAAACAAAGAAATTATACTTTAGGAATTGATAGTAGTATGGGTAATTTTCAAGAGATTCTCATGTCAATCAGAGCCATGATTAACAATAATGTCTCTAGATACTAAAGCATTTTAAAAACAACTTATAAAGAATGTTTTTTAGGAAAAAAATCAACATCCATACCCACTAATTTAGCACAACAGTTTACAGTTTTGTATATTTCTGTCTAGTCCCTATCCACATGAAAATACACATTTTGACAATAGTAACCAACAAGGTTCATGAGATTTTAAAATTTTCTCTACATAAATTAGGATGAGTATTTCCATGAATGTCCACAAGCTTCATGAAAATTGTTTTTTATGGCTACATAAAAATGGAGATTCCACAATGTATTAAAACAATTTCCTACTGTTGACCATTCAGGTTACATTGGCTCTCCTTTTTGTTATATATTAATACATACTGTTTTATTATATGATTTATGATTATATATATTATGTGATTCCCCTCTCTGTATATGATAGCCTTTTTCTTTCCAATAGATTTATCCTGAAGTTAAAATCCCTAAAGTGGAATTACTGAACTAAAAATTCTGAATTCTGACAGCTCTTGTTTTATACTATAATGCTTTCCCACAAGTTTTTATCAGCTCACATACAGTTGCAGAACACAACAAAAGGAAAGTTGAAACATCTGCAAAAGCAGTTCCCTCAGTGTTAATGTCCTCAAACTTAATATTTGCACCATCTTTACCATTTTCAAAGGTGAGAAAGAATTGTGATATTTTGTTGTACTAGTCAAAGTTTGTTGGTGATGACAGAGAACAATTACATATTCCCAGAATTAGCACAGTATGATTTTAGGCCACAATCTGGGTATGAAAATGTCTATTTTCTTTTGCTTTTTCAGAAGCAGCAATATAGAGAATTAGATTTCTGCCTATAATGTATTTAAAATTTAATAAGACTTAAATATCTGAAAGCCATTTAACAGCTTTGGCTAACAACAGTAACTGACTAAAATCCAAAGCTTATTTCACCATAATATAGTCAGTATGATAATGGTTGATGGCATCTTTGTCAATATGCTTTGTTTTTCTGCTTTTATTCCACATACTTTAGGATTGAGCTTTGTTCCCAGGTCTACACAAATGTCAGAAAACTCCATTCTTGTTTAAGCCAGCTATAAACATAAAAAGTGTCCCAAGCAGTTTATCTAGGAGCCTCGGTATTCTGATGATCTTGCTCTAGACACAAATATACTTGACAGTACCTGAATTGCAATGATGCTGAGCAACAACAGGAATGGTATTTTAACAGATCAGATGATAATTCAGTTATGGTAGTCTTTTGAATTTGTATTTTAGTGATGTAAGGTCATTTTTAGATGATTTGGAGGCACATTCTCAGGCTACTGAAAACAGGTTAAGTATTATTTAAGTATTATTTTGCTTCTTGTTGATATGACTGTCATAAACTAAAAGTGGCTCCACCTCTAAGATACGAATCATTTTGATGTTATGTGCTCCATTACACTGATTTAAATCAAGTATGACAACTAGTTTAGTTACTTAGGGGTTCATATTATAATTAATTCGCCCCAGGGTATGTGGGGGTATATTACTGTGGTGATGTAGCTTAGATGGGTGATTAGAAATTCTTTGAAAATTTAAATTTGAAATATTTCCAGGTTCAGATATTCAAGGTCTAGAGCTTTATAGTTTAATAGTTTATTTATTTATTTTGTACTCTGGAGCAGATCCTGAAATGCTTTGTGAGGAAAGCTTCGGCTATGTCTGTAGCTTAGCAGTCCCTCACTCTGTCTGTGTGGAGAGATGCATGTCCATTTATCCAGGAAAGAAAAGTCATAGGTTCTTTTGTCATAAGAGGATGGATGTCAATCCTGCCCTCCACATGGCTTTTTAAAAAAAACATGTCTGATGCCGAGAATTTTTTTTTTTTTTTTTGAGACAAAGTTTTGCTCTTGTTGCCCAGGCTGGAGTGCAATGGCACAATCTCGGCTCATTGCAACCTCCGCCTCCCAGGTTCAAGCAATTCTCTTGCCTTAACCTCCTGAGTAGCTGGGATTACAGGCATGCATCACCACGTCCGGCTAATTTTGTATTTTTAGTAGAGACAGGGTATCTCCACGTTGGTCAGGCTCGTCTTGAACTCCCAACCTCAGGTGATCTGCCTGTCTCAGCCTCCCAAAGTGCTGGGATTACAGGTGTGAGCCACCGCGCCTGGCCGAGGACATATATATTTTAAGGTCTTACAAAAGAATGTAACTCACAATGACAAATTCTTATTTAAAACATACATGAATCTTAAACTACAGGCAGCCGGAAGGCCAAGCAATCAATCACTTGGTCTAGACCAGCATTTCCTGAAGTATGTTTGGTGACATACTTGGGCCTTCACTACTGCAGCGCCATAGAAAACTGTTTAACTATACTGTGGTTAAACTGTTTTTGGGTTACAATAAGGGGAACTTTAAAAAAAAGTATCTATTTGAAACTCACATTTTTTGTTAGAATGATGATGTTAAGTTCATTTACTGTATCTCTTTCAGTACCAAATCTGAGGCCCTAAAGGAGAAATATTTCTTAAACAGCAGGGCCAGAAACACCGTTTTTTCTAAGCCACCAGTGTGCTTTCAATCTAATGAACAATGGGAAATTTTAACAGAATTATAACACTTCTTTATTTACTTTAGCTCAGACCAATATCTGAAATATCCTCTTCGGTAACTATTAAGGTACTCAAGGCATGCATTTCTCTAAACTAATTTTAGCTCTGACCTCAGCTTACTATTCCTCTATTAACTATACCCCAATTCAACTTTGGAGTAAACTCTCAGAGTCAAAGTTCAATGTCAGTTTCTATTTTTATGTTGAAATCTGATTTCTATAGCTGTAAAAATATACACATGTAAATTATTATTATTTTTCAGTTTGCTGTAACCTGTATCAAAACAACATGAAAATCAGGTTATACTAGGCTCCTACTAAGCAGACAATTTGCTCAAAAACATAAGTCACAATCATTAATTAGTTCGCTATCTTGCATTAAGAAAGTTACTTTAAACTGCTCAAAACCTACTCATTTTTATACACAGTGTAAAGCCATTCTAGTAAAACTGTAGAAATGAGCTCAGTAAGTAAATGTGTTAGTTCAGAGTTAGGGCCTTTTTCATGTTGTGAACAATTAACGTAACCTGGGCCAGTATTAAATTTGTTAATGGCTTATAGCAATTCTGTCTTGATTCTAAACAGGTCATACTTTTAAAAAATCTTTTTACCTTAAAAATTTTAAAGCAGATTTCAGCACACTTTCTCAATCTGTAAAATGGAGTGGCAATGCTGTCCTAAAGTACAGACAAATAAAGACAAGTAAAGACAAATGTTGTCCTAAAGTAATTGCCACTCCATTTTACAGACTGGGAAAATGAATAAGACACTAATTAAACTAATAAAGTTCAAATTACTTTCTCAAGGTAGCATGTGCTGATAAACTTGGAACAAGAAAAGAGATCTTTCTTTCCAGACTTTTCCTGAACATGAACTAGAATGAAATGTTTTAAATCTTTATTAGCAACATTTTAAAAGTTTTAAGATTAGACAGAAACAACACCATCAAACAACAAGACATGGATTTTGACCTTACTGTTTAATGATAAGAACTAGTAATGAAAGATTTTATCTCCTGCAGCATAAATACCCTTAGGCAAAAATGGATCTGATCCAACTCAGTTCAAGACTATTTAAAGAAAATGAAGTCAGCTCCTGCCATTAGCTTTTTGGAGAGAGAGAGAAAAAAAAGGTGCCAAATTCTGAGCCCTTAACTGTGCTACCTATTATGTTTCTAACTTAAAACTTTTAAGTTTTAAAAGCATCCAGTCATTATTTGGAAGAATTTCACTTCACTCTTAAGGGTTGGATATTTTCAGAATATTTGCAAGGACACCGGTTCTCACTAAATCAGGCCCCACCATTAGCTGGCTTCAGGCCCTGCAGCACACCCTAGCTCTAACCCGTGAATAATTTTTTTTTGGTATATAAGAGTCTTGTCACATTCTGATCTAAATCTCAGTTAAACATATTTGCATTGCAGTTTTAGCCCTTTCAAATGATTAAAAAAATGATTAAATATAAGTATAAACTTATAATTTATACTTCTTGAAAATATTTGCCTCTCTAGTATACTACTGCAATTTACATTCGAGGGGAAAAAAACAAAAGTGTATTATTTTCAGTAACAACATATTTATATGTTTTCAGCTATAAACATCTCATTTGATTTGATTTCCTATTGAAATTATGTAAAAACCGTAACTTCAAAGATTTTTTAAGTTTATTTTTATTTTTTACATGGGGTCTCACTATGTTGTCCAGGATGATCTTGAACTCCTGGCCTCGAGTGATCCTCTCACTAAGATGACAGAATTTAACATTATCAGAAGATATTTATATCTTATATATAAGGTACCTGGGTGGGTGCTTTTGTTTTATGCTTTTTGGAAATAAAGCAAAAAATTTTATTCAGGTTTACTCATTTGGCTGTGCTGTTTTTGATATATAAAAGATATTAAATGTTCATACTCATCAAATGAAATGAAAGGTAATCATATCTTTTTGAAAAACAGAATTTTTTTTTTTTGAGATGGAGTCTTGCTCTGTTGCCCAGGCTGGAGTGCAGTGGCGCAATCTCGGCTCAATGCAACCTCCGCCTCCCGGTTTCAAGCAATTCTCCTGTCTCAGCCTCCCCAGAAGCTGGGATTACAGGCACCTGCCACCACACCTGGCTAAGTTTTTATTTTTAGTAGAGACAAGGTTTCACCTTGTTGGTCAGGCTGGTCTCAAACTCCTGACCTCAGGTGATCCACCCACCTCGGCCTCCCAAAGTGCTGGGATTACAGGTGTGAGCCATCATGCCCAGCCCAGAATATGTTTTTATAGAAGAGACTTAGAACGTTCTTACCTGACGCTGCTGTGGCATTTGTGGGGGTTGAAGCAGCTGCTTGAATCCGAGCATGAGGAGGAATAAGGATGGTAGCCAGAGGTGGATTACTTGACAGTTCTATAGAAGGTTAAGACACAAATGTTAGAGTCCACTCTTAACTTTGTATGCAAAACTATTTTATTGGTAAGAGTGAAAATAAGATTCTGCATTAAACTACCAGTTTATGCCGGGCGCAGTGGCTCACGCCTGTAATCCTAGCACTTTGGGAGGCCAAGGTGGGTGAATCACCTGAGGTCAGGAGTTCGAGATCAGCCTGGCCAACATGGTGAAACCCCGTCTCTACTAAAAATACAAAAATTAGGGGATCAATGCAACAAGAAGAGCTAACTATCATAAATATATATGCACCCAATACAGGAGCATCCGGATTCATAAAGGAAGTTCTTAGAGACCTACAAAGAGACTTGGACTCCCACACAATAACAGTGGGAGACTTTAACACCACATTGTCAGTATTACACAGATCAACGAAACAGAAAAGTAACAAGGATATTTGGGACTTGAACTCAGCTCTGGACCAAGTTCTGTAGATAGACATCTACAGAACTCTCCACCCCAAATCAACAGAACATACATTCTTCTCAGCACCACACTGCACTTACTCTAAAATCGACCACATAATTGGAAGTAAAACAGTCCTCAGCAAATGCCAAAGAACAGAAATCATAACAAACAGTCTCTCAGACTACAGTGAATCAAATTACAACTCAGGATTAAGAAACTCACTCAAAACCGCACAACTACATGGAAACTAAACAACCTGCTCCTGAATGACTACTGGGTAAATAACGAAATTAAGGCAGAAATAAATAAGTTCTTCGAAACCAATGAGAACAAAGACACAACATACCAGAATCTCTGGGACACAGCTAAAGCAGTGTTTAAAGGGAAATTTATAGCACTAAATAAATGCCCACAGGAGAAAGCAGGAAAGATGTAAAATTGACACCCTAACATCACAATTAAAAGAACCAGAGAAGCAAGAGCAAACACATTCAAAAGCTAGCACAAGACAAGAAATAACTAAGATCAGAGCAGAACAGAAGGAGACAGAGACACAAAAAACTCTTAAAAAAAAAAAATCAATGAATCCAGGAGCTGGTTTTTTGAAAAGATTAACAAAATAGATAGACTGCTAGCCAGATTAATAAAGGAAAGAGAGAAGAATCAAATAGACACAATAAAAAATGATAAAGGGGAGATCACCACTGATCCCACAGAAATACAAACTACCATCAGAGAATACTATAAACAGCTCTACGCAAATAAACTAGAAAATCTAGAAGAAATGGATAAATTCCTGGACACATACACCCTCCCAAGACTAAACCAAGAAGAAGTTGAATCTCTGAATAGACCAATGGCAGTAATTAATAGCCTACCAACAAAAAAAGCCCAAGACCAGATGGATTCACAATTGAATTCTACCAGAGGTACAAAGAGGAGCTGGTACCATTCCTTCTGAAACTATTCCAATCAACAGAAAAAGAGGGAATCCTCCCTAACTCATTTTATGCAGCCAGCATCATCCTGATAGCAAAACCTGGCAGAGACACAAGAAAGAAAGAAAATTTCAGGCCAATATATCTGATGAACATAGATGCAAAAATCCTCAATAAAATACTGGCAAACCGAATCTAGCAGCACCTTAAAAAGCGTATCCACCATGATCAAGTCGGCTTCATCCCTGGGATGAAAGGCTGGTTCAACATATGCAAATCAATAAACGTAATTCATCACATAAACAGAACTAATGACAAAAACCACATGATTATCTCAATAGATGTGGCGAAGGCCTTTAATAAAATTCAACAGCCCTTCATGCTAAAAACACTCAATAAACTAGGTATTGATGGAACATATCTCAAAATAGTAAGAGCTATTTATGACAAACCCACAGCCAATACGGTACTGAACGTTTCAGGCAAAAGCTGGAAGCATTCGCTTTGAAAACCAGCACAAAACAAGGGTGCCCTCTCTCACCACTCCTATTCAACATAGTATTGGAAGTTCTGGCCAGGGCAATCAGGCAAGAGAAAGAAATAAAGGGTATTCAAATAGGAAAAGAGGAAGTCAAATTATCTGTTTGCAGATGACATGACTGTATATTTAGAAAACCCCATCGCCTCAGCCCAAAATCTCCTTAAGCTGATAAGCAACTTCAGCAAAGTCGCAGGATACAAAATCAATCTCAAAAATCACAAACATTCTTATACACCAATAACAGACAGAGAGCCAAATCATGAGCAAACTCCCATTCACAATTGCTACAAAAAGAATAAAATACCTGGGAATACAAGTTACAAGGGATGTGAAGGATCTCTTCAAGGAGGACTACAAACCACTGCTCAAGGAAATAAGAGAGGACACAAACAAATGGAAAAACATTACATGCTAATGGATAGGAAGAATTAATATGGTGAAAATGGCCATACTGCCCAAAGTAATTTATAGATTATTCAATGCTATTCCCATCGAACTACCACTGACTTTCTTCAAAGAATTAGAAAAAACTACTTTAAATTTCATATGGAACCAAAAAAGAGCCCGTATAGCCAAGACAATCCTAAGCAAAAAGAACAAAGCTGGCGGCATCAGCAAAGGCTACAAGGCTACAGTCACCAAAACAGCATGGTACTGGTACCAAAAAAGATATACAGACCAATGGAACAGAACAGAGCCCTCAGAAATACCACCACACATCTACAACCATCTGATCTTTGACAAACCTATCAAAAACAAGCAATGGGGAAAGGATTCCCTATTTAATAAATGGTGTTGGGAAAACTAGCTAGGCATATGCAGAAGACTGAAACTGGACCCCTTCCTTATACCTTATACAAAAATTAACTCAAGATGGATTAGAGACTTAAACGTAAGACCTAAAACCATAAAAACCCTAGAAGGAAACCTAGGCAATATCATTCAGGATATAGGCATGGGCAAAGAATTCATGACTAAAACACCAAAAGCAATGGCAACAAAAGCCAAAATTGACAAATGGTCAAATTAAACTAAAGAGCTTCTGCACAGCAAAAGAAACTATCATCAGAACAGGCAACCTACAGAATAAGAAAAATTTTTGCCATCCATCTGACAAAGGGCTAATATCCAGAATCTACAAGGAACTTAAACAAATTTACAAGAAAAAAACAAACAATCCCATCAAAAAGTGGGCGAAAGATATGAACAGACATTTTTCAAAAGAAGATATTTATGTGGCCAACAAACATATGAAAAAAAGCTCATCATCGCTGATTATTAGAGAAATGCAAATCAAAACCACAATGAGATACCATCTCACACTAGTTAGAATGGTGATCATTAAAAAGTCAAGAAACAACAGATGCTGGAGAGGATGTGGAGAAACAAGAATGCTTTTACACTGTTGGTGGGAGTGTAAATTAGTTCAATTGTGGAAGATAGTGTGGCAATTCCTCAAGGATCTAGAATTTGAAATACCATTTGACCCAGCCATCCCATTACTGGGTATATACCCAAAGGATTATAAATCATTCTACTATAAAGACACATGCATACATATATTTATTGCAGTACTATTCACAATAGCAAAGACTTGGAACCAACCCAAATGCCCACCAATGATAGACTGGATAAAGAAAATGTGGCCCATATACATCACAGAATATTATGCAGCCATAAAAAAAGAATGAGTTCATGTCTTTTGCAGGGACATGGATGAAGCTGGAAACCATCATTCTCAGCAAACTAACACAGGAACAGAAAACCAAACATGGCATGTTCTCACTCGTAAGTGGGAGTTGAACAATGAGAACATATGGGCACAGGGAGGGGAACATCACATACCAGGGCCTGTTGCGGGGTAGGGGGGAAGGGGGAGGGATAGCATTAGGAGAAATACCTAATGTAGATGATGGATTGATGGGTGCAGCAAACCACTATGGCACATGTATACCTATGTAACAAACCTGCACCTTCTCCACATGTATCCCAGAACTTAAAGTATAATAATAATCATAAAAAAAGAATAAGTTTAAAAAAAAATACAAAAATTAGCCTGGCGTGGTGGCACACACCTGTGATCCCAGGTACTTGGGAGGCTGAGGCAGGAGAATTGCTTGAACCCGCAAGGCAGAGGTTGCAGTGAGCCAAGACCGTGCCATTGCACTTCAGCCTGGGCGACAAGAGCGAAACTCCGTCTCAAAAACAAAACAAAACAAAACAAACCCTACCAGTTTAACAGGGGAAAAAAAAACCCACATGACAAACCTATATCTCAAACTAGCTAACTGAGTTAGTAATCAACTTACAGAAAAAGCCCACAGAAGTACTGTGATATATAACAAAGGCATTATCTACTAAAATTATGTCTGAGAACTAAAAATATCTCGGGGAAAGATGTGGCCAAAGTTTTGGAGTAGGTATATTAATAAGACATATCTGCATCTTTCATTGATTTAAATATATTAGGTTTTCCTGTCCTACTATGTCAATATTTGACTACAGGAAATACTGTACAAACATATTCTTTATGTTTTTAAAAGGTGGTGGTGTCATAGCAAAGAGAATATGAATGAGAATGTGTGTCTGTATGTGTATGTATGTACAACTGGATGTACTGACCAACCTATCCAACTGTTTATGAGCCAATGGCAGATAAGACTTATCTAGACACTAGTGGAAAAAGGATTTGAGAAACATCTGTTTAAAGTGTCACTGCTTTTATTAAAACTGAAAATGTCTTTATCCAATTCTTTACTCAGTAAGATTATTTTTGTTACTTTTTACAAGTTTGAAATAGGCTTTTTATCTGCATGGGGGAAGCTGTCTCTGTCAACTGTACTTACTTCTTTGAAGAATCAAGTTCTGTAGCAAGTAGTGGTAGCGAGCTTGTACACAAAAGCATTTTTTGTTAGTTTTAGGTAATGTGACTGTTCTCCCAGTTACCTGGGATAACCCTGGTTTATGCTTGTTACTTAAGTATTTAGCCTGTAAGTACTAATTTTCACTCTAATATGTGTCACAGTTTGAAGGAACAATCATAACCATAACAAGCTACAGGAGGACATTATCCTCTGAGCTACAGCACACACTTTGGCAATTCACAGATACAGCATGAATTTTAAAAAGTTCAAGAAAAGCTTTTTTTTTTAAATTAAGGTATAATTTATGTTAACATAAACCATTTAAAAGTGTACAATTCAGCACAATTCAGCATCTAGTACATTCGCAAGGTTTATAACCATCTCCTCTAGTTCCAAAACATTTTCATCACCCCAAAGGGAAACACCAAACTCGCAAGCAGTCACTCTACATTAATCCCTTCCCCTAAGACCCTAGCAAGGGAAATTGTACTTTTAATGTAGTAGTTTTAAAATGTTTTCTGGTGCAAAGCCCCTGCCAATAATATTTATTCAAATCAGTACCTAAACATCTAAATTTTGTACTAAATTACATACTAAATGATATCAGATTGTGGTAAAGAAAAGCAATAAATTGATGCTAAGATTTATTAAAAATGAATGAAAGGAAAAGCTTAAAACTGAGAAAACTATTCATTTTCCTTTCCCCTAAATGAGAAAATTTAGTCCAGCTCATCAAATAGTCTTGCCTGGGAAGACAGTTGAAGATACTGCCCTAATTATCAGGTTCTAGGAGATACTGTTTTCTCACAATCAGACTTGGTAGCTATCTGGGTTCTCACTAAGGAACAGAAAGCTCCTATGCCATTTTACTTCAAGTCAGTTCAATTTTAACCCATAATCTTATATGCAGGAAAGCAAAATAATTGCTAGCAATTGTGATGGCTGAAAACTTTATGGCTCCAGGTACAAAAAAAAGCATTAATATGTGGTTTTTATTCTAAAGAAATTCAGATTTACCATTCTCAATTAAAAGCATCTAAAATAGAAAGGCTTCTTTAAAATCCAACCATCCATCAACCCACCCACATATCCATCCAACAATATTGAACATGAAATGTGTAAGGTCCCAGGATAGGGAGATAAAAAGACAACTGTCCTTTGTCTGATCAACAGAAATTGACAAGAACAACTGAAAAAACAATCTGGCAAGAAAGGCAACCACTTAGGACAGGGGCACTGTCAAATGAAAACATCTCAATAACCATGTGCTCGATACCTAAAATAAACCTAAAAATGAAAAGAGGACCGGAGTTTTTAATAAGACATTTTGACAAAGCTGTTAAAAATAATCTTTAAAATAAACTGAGTATCAGTGGTCTGTGGTCCCTCTCCTTATGGCCCATGCTGTCCATTTTCTCCCATATATTTACTCTCTTTTACCACATCACCTATCCTTCTGTGTATCTGAATGCCAGTTGAAGGCCACAGCAGTTTTGTGTCTTAGTCTGGACAAGAATATGTAATGTATAGTCAGCTATCCCTTGGTATCCTGGGGGATTTGTTCCAAGACCCTCCTCAGATACCCAAATCCAAAGATGCTTAAGTCCCTTGCATAAAATGGCATAGTATTTACAGGTAACCTACACAGAGCCTCTCATATACTTTATTTTTTTATTTTTTATTTTATTTTTTGAGACAGTCTCACTCTGTTGCCCAGGCTGGAGTACAATGATGTGATCTTGGCTCACTGCAACCTCTGCCTCCTGGGTTCACGCGATTCTCGTGCATGAGCCTCTCATATACTTTAAATCATCTCTAGATTACTTATAATACCGAATACAATGTAAATACTATGTAAATAGTTTTATAGATGTAAATCTATAGATGTATGTAATGTAAATCTATAGATGTATGTATGTATGTATGTATGTAAAAAGACTGTCATTTTGGCCTTAGATAAGGAGAGAGGGGTAACTAATGAAGGGTAAGGGGAAAAAAAGTGAAGAAATTAAGAAGACAAGAAATAGAAAAGATTTGGGATCTCGGAGGCTTTGCCACACCCAAAGACACGGAGTGCGGGTGAGGGTGGGGTCCAAGATGTGAAGGGGGGTACTTTGTGAACCTTTTTCTAGCAAGAACCTAAAAGTTAAGAATTCTAAAATGAACAATCACTACTACTTCTACATCCTTCCAACTTCTACACCCCATTGTTCTTCTTCTCTTCCTTAATTACAGGCAATCCTTAAAATCCATTGCTTTCATCTGTTCAGTCTTCTCTACTTCAAAGAGGTTGTTAACTGTTACTTACAACTTTTCCCTGTGAGGAAGCCTCCTTGCACTCTTGCTATAGTCCTATTCTTGCCACTGTAAGTCCACACTTTTTATGGGGACAGACTATGGGCATTTCTATAGGGCTATGTCAACCAGTTCAAAATGTTTTTTTTTAATCCCAACCATTACTACCTACTTCTAATCACTTTGTCTACCCATGGCAATGAGTGATAAGGAAATGGAGTCAGTGAGGGTGAATATAAACTGCAGTGAAAGAATAGAAAAAATGGTGGTATTTTGGAGGATAGAAACAGCAAAGTAACAGCACCTGTTAGCATCAGACACAGTGTATGTATTCTTGAAGGCAGAGGAGTGTTGAAGAGACTGAAATTGAAATGTAAGGTAATATTTATTTACTAGATATGTGTGCTAAGCTTGAGAGTAGGGGGATAAGAACAAAAAGGTCCATAATGAAGTGGGACAGCTCTGGAGAAGTGAGAGGAAAATGAAAAATAGGAAGGATAAAAGATAGACTGTGTTACCTAGAGACATGGTTTAAAACAAAACGGCAAGAAATTCCAGAAAACTTTAGAAAAATTAATGTGATAAAAATTTCTTCAGCCAACTGAAGAAGTCATGAAAACTATTCATTAAAAAGCCACGTAGTTTATTAGGGAAAACTACAAATGTTTTGATGGTGCATCAATAATTATGTGTTCCATAATTAAACATTTTAATGCACAATTTAAACAAAAGCAAAATGAGTTTAAATATAGATATGAATCAACCAAAAAGTTAACAAAATCCATTTAACTAAATTTTGCTGCATTGTTTTATACTGCAAAACACAGAAGAAAAATTCCCATGAAAAGACAAACTCAATAAACTCAAATATGCCTGATAAAGCAGTCTTTTCCAATGGAAAAATGAAACCTACATCTAGTTGGTAAAATCTGAAATTTGCCTTAAAAGTTTCTATTCTTCCAAGTACAAGATCCCCAAATTCATTGATAAAATGGGACAGGTAAGAACTTTCCTAGTTTTCTGAGGGGGCAGGTAGGTGCTAGTGGTAACGTGTTTGTACAAACTGTTGTGTGAAAGATGAGGACAAATTTGAGAGCAGCAATCAATGTGTGAATCAGAGGGAAGAAAATCAACCCCTCTACTGACTAGATCTCCTCTTACAGTGATGTAATAAAATACTTAGCAGTCATTATATAAAAGGGAATCTTCCTCCTCTACTAGCTTTGAAGGAGCTCACCCTGCAGATCTCCAAAAAGGAGTTACTAAAATAAGCAGACATTCTTTTTCTTCTACAAGAAGTCTGACCTCCTCATGTGTGTACCAGGCCTCTTATTACATATAATAATTGTCAGTGGTTGTCTATACAGTTAAAAGTGCTATTTCTCTCTATTCACAAAAAGGTTTAAATGACTTAATAATGGAGTGCCCCCATTACATTTGTGTATTTTTTTAGGCAATAATTCAAATGCTAAGATGATGTCCCTTGCTCTCACACATTTCTGAATTCTAATGGTGCTTACTTACTTGTATATATTTCCTTGTAGATGAATGAATAAACCACATCATAACTGCTTCTCTCCTTGGTAACAATTCCAAAGTGCCCAGGAAATTCCTGACCATGTTCCTAATGCTAAACTAATTAGAAAATCAGACAAATAGTAAGCAAATTACAAGGCTTACTGATACTGTTTTGGTAATACTGGTGATGTTTCATGTGAGGACTATATAATATGATATTTGCTGAAAGCCATGATGACTTTGGGATCCTTCCAATTTATACCACTCACCAAAAAATGTCTGAATGCTTTTATTGAACTACATTATAGTACAGGTGTTTTTAGAAGTTATCTAGCAAAGTGTTAATATTTTTAAAGTTCTAGTGATGTACTTGAAAATCTTATATTCAGAACTCTATTTTTTTTTTTTTAAAGACAGAGTCTCGCTCTGCTGCCTAGGCTGGAGTGCAGTGGTGTGATCTCAGCTCACCGTGACCTCTGCCTCCTGGGTTCAGGCGATTCTCCTGCCTCAGCCTCCTGAGTAGTGGGATTACAGGCACCCACCACCACGCCTGGCTAATTTTTGTATTTTTAGTAGAGACGGGTTTTCGCCATGTTGGCCAGGCTGGTCTCGAACTCTTTACCTCATGTGATCTGCTCACCCCCGCCTCCCAAAGTTCTGGGATTAGAAGTGTAAGCCACTGCACCCAGCCCAGAACTCTATTCTTAATGAAATGCAATAAATGAGGCATTACCAAGTTTTTCAAATCCAATTTAAAAAATAAACTTATTGGGCATTTAAAAATAATACTGCTCTTCACCCACTTTTTGATGGGGTTGATTTTTTCTTGTAAATTTGTTTAAGTTCTTTGTAGATTCTGGATATTAGCCCTTTGTCAGATGGGTAGATTGCAAAAATTTTCTCCCATTCTGTAGGTTGCCTGTTCACTCTGATGGTAGCTTCTTTTCCTGTGCAGAAGCTCTTTAGCTTAATTAGATCCCATTTGTCTATTTTGGCTTTTGTTGCCATTGCTTTTGGTGTTTTAGTCATGAAGTCCTTGCCCATGCCTATGTCCTGAATGGTATTGCCTAGGTTTCCTTCTAGGGTTTTCATGGTTTTCGGTCTAACATTTAAGTCTTTAATCCATCTTGAATTAATTTTTGTATCAGGTGTAAGGAAGGGATCCAGCTTCAGCTTTCTACATATGGCTAGCCAGTTTTCCCGGCACCATTTATCACATAGGGAATCCTTTCCCCATTTCTTGTTTTTGTCAGGTTTGTCAAAGATCAGATGGTTGTAGATTGTGATATTATTTCTGAGGGCTCTGTTCTGTTCCATTGGTCTATATCTCTGTTTTGGTACCAGTACCATGCTGTTTTGGTTACTGTAGCCTTGTAGTATAGTTCGAAGTCAAGTCGTGCTGCCTCCAGCTTTGTTCTTTTTGCTTAAGATTGTCTTGGCTATACGGGCTCTTTTTTGGTTCCATATGAACTTTAAAGTAGTTCTTTCCATTTCTGTGAAGAAAGTCATTGGTAGCTTGATGAGGATGGCACTGAATCTATAAATTACCTTGGGCAGTAGGGCCATTTTCACGACATTGATTCCTCCTATCCATGAGCATGGAATGTTCTTTCATTTGTTTGTGTCCTCTTTTATTTCGTTGAGCAGTGGTTTGTAGTTCTCCTTGACGAGGTCCTTCACGTCCCTTGTAAGTTGGATTCCCAGGTATTTTATTCTCTTTGAAGCAATTGTGAATGGGAGTTCACTCATCATTTGGCTCTCTGTTTGTCTGTTATTGGTGTATAAGAATGCTTGTGATTTTTGACATTGATTTTGTATCCTGAGACTTTGCTGAAATTGCTTATCAGCTTAAGGAGATTTTGGGCTGAGACGATGGGGTTTACTAAATATACAATCATCTCATCTGCAAACAGGGACATTTTGACCCCCTGTTTTCCTAATTCTTTTCCTTTATTTCTTTCTCCTGCCTGATTACCCTGGCCAGAACTTCCAACGCTATGTTGAATAGGACTGGTGAGAAAGGGAACCCCTGTCTTGTGCCAGTTTTCAAAGAGGAATGCTTCCAGTTTTTGCCCATTCAGTATGATATTGGCTGTGGGTTTGTCATAAACATGTTATTAATTTCAGATACGTCCCATCAATACCTAGTTTATTGAGAGTTTTTAGCATGAAGGTCTGTTGAATTTTGTCAAAGGCTTTTTCTGCATCTATTGAGATAATCACGTGGTTTTTGTCTTTGGTTTTGTTTATATGATGGATTATGTTTATTGATTTGCGTATGATGAACCAGCTTTGCATCCCAGGGATGAAGCCCACCTGATTGTGGTGGATAAGCTTTTTGATGTGCTACTGGATTCAGTTTGCCAGTATTTTATTGAAGATTTTTGCATCCATATTCATCAGGGATATTGGTCTAAAATTCTCTTTTTTTGTTGTGTCTCTGCCAGGCTTTGGTATCAGGATGATGCTGGCCTCATAAAATGAGTTAGGGAGAATTCCCTCTTTTTCTATTGACTGGAATAGTTTCAGAAGGAATGGTACCAGCTCCTCTGTGTACCTCTGGTAGATTTTGGCTGTGAATCTGTCTGGTCCTGGACTTTTTTTGGTTGGGAGGCTATTAATTATTGCCTCAACTTCAGAGCCTGTTATTGGTCTATTCAGGGATTCAACTTCTTCCTGGTTTAGTCTTGGGAGGGTGTATGTTTCCAGGAATTTATCCATTTCTTCTAGATTTTCTAGTTTATTTGCGTAGAAGTGTTCATAGTATTCTCTGATGGCAGTTTGTATTTCTGTGGGATCGGTGGTGATACCCCCTTTATCATTTTTTATTGCGTCTATTCGATTCTTCTCTCTTTTCTTCTTTATTAGCCTTGCTGGCGGTCTATCAATTTTGTTGATCTTTTCAAAAAACCAGCTCCTGGATTCACTGACTTTTTGAAGGGTTTTTTGCGTCTCTATCTCCTTCAGTTCTGCTCTGACCTTAGTTATTTCTTGCCTTCTGCTATCTTTTGAACGTGTTTGCTCTTGCTTCTCTAGTTCTTTTAATTGTGATGTTAGGGTGTCAATTTTAGATCTTTCCTTCTTTCTCTTGTGGGCATTTAGTGCTATAAATTTTCCTCTATATGCTGCTTTAAATGTGTCCCAGAGATTCTGGTATGTTGTGTCTTTGTTCTCATTGGTTTCAAAGAACATCTTTATTTCTGCCTTCATTTTGTTATGTATCCAGTAGTCATAAGGAAGACATTTATGCAGCCAACAGACACATGAAAAAATGCTCATCATCACTGGCCACCAGAGAAATGCAAATCAAAACCACAAGGAGATACCATCTCACACCAGTTAGAATGGTGATCATTAAAAAGTCAGGAAACAACAGGTGCTGGAGAGGATGTGGAAAAATAGGAACACTTTTACACTGTTGGTGGGACTGTAAACTAGTTCAACCATTGTGGAAGACAGTGTGGCGATTCCTCAAGGATCTAGAACTAGAAATACCATTTGACCCAGCCATCCCATTACTGGGTGTATACCCAAAGGATTACAAATCATGCTGCTATAAAGACACATGCACATGTAAGTTTATTGCGGCACTATTCACAATAGCGAAGACTTGGAACCAACCCAAATGTCCATCAATGATAGACTGGATTAAGAAAATGTGGCACATATACACGATGGAATACTATGCAGCCATAAAAAAGGATGAGTTCATGTCCTCTGTAGGGACATGGATGAAGCTGGAAACTATCATTCTGAGCAAACTATCGCAAGGACAGAAAACCAAACACTGCATGTTCTCACTCACAGATGGGAATTGACCAATGAGAACACTTGGACACAGGGTGGGGAACATCACACACCGGGGCCTGTCGTGCGGTGGGGGGAGGGGGAGGGGTAGCAGTAGGAGAAATACCTAATGTAAATGACGAGTTAATGGGTGCAACACACCAACATGGCACATGTATACACATGTAACAAACCTGCACGTTGTGCACATGTACCCTAGAACTTAAAGTATAATAATACTGCTAATATTTTGATTCTGGGAGAACCAGTCTACATTTTTCTATGTTTATTTATATCATGATTTTGTATCTCAATCCTATTGTGGTCTACATTTTTAGCTTTGTCATTTTTTCTTTATCTTTCTGGAGTCAATTCATTTTTATAATTAAAATTTTGAAGATGCATATGTCCTTGAATATCCTTTAATCCAACAATCTCATTTATTTATATGGGGAAACTCAGGTAGGGATAGTGTGTTGACCAAGGTCTACACCTGTGTAGTTAAAGGGAACTAGGCTTTAGGTCTGACTTACTCTTTGCTCCTGCAATGTTGCATTTCTTTACTGTCTTGGTTATATATCATATACCACCAGTGTTCTGGTCTTCTGTAAGTATATCTGTCCAAACTACACACAGAACTTTCATTCAAGATACTAGTGTTTGATTGTTTGTTCCTACACCACTCTACATTTTCCCCAGTAGAGTACATCCAAAGTAGCAGGGTGGACCAAATAATCTCAGGCAAAACAATAAAAATTCTTATATAAAATAGATAATTTAGAGCCTAAAATCTTGAATACAGTCACTCATTATTTGTCATTACTGCTGTAGTTACCTGAACTAAATCTTACCTGCCCCCTTTTAGTCCACTCATAAATTTTCTCAAGTTCTCCCTGTGGTGTGTCTCCACTGGCCTACCTAGCATTTCATTGCCCAGAAGAGTATACCTGATTACATAGAAATTTTACTCTTCTAGATTACTTAGAAAGTACTGAAGAATAATTCTGACATCAATTCTATTGATGTGTCCTACACACATCAAGAGTTCCTATCCTATGTAAATTTATCATGGCTATTGTAAATAATAAGTCTAAAAACCATTATGACTCACCTCAGAGTTCATAGTAATTTGAGAATAACCTTAGAAGATACAGGAATACCTCGGAGATACTACAGATTCAGTTTTAGACCACTACAATAAAGTGAGTCACGCAAATGTTTTGGTTTTCCACTGCATGTAAGTGATGAGTTTACCCTACACTATCGTCTATTAAGTGGGCAATAAGCATTACATCTAAAAAAAACCACATATATACCTTAATTTAAAAATACTTTATCACTAAAAAATCCTAAAGATCACCTGAGCCTTCTGCGAGTCATCTTTTGTGGGTGGAGGGTCTTATACCTTTATGTCGATGGCTGCTGATTGACCAGGATATTGGTTGCTGAAGGTTAGGGTGGCTATGGCAATTTCTTAAAACAAAACAACCATGAAGTTTGTCACAATGCCTGACTCTTCCTTTCACAAAAGATTTCTCTGTAGCATTTAAGGCTGTTTGATAGCATTTTACCCTGGTAGAATTTCTTTCAAAATTGGAGTCAACCCTCTCAAACCCTGTCACCGCTTTCAACTAAGATTATGGAATATTCTAAATCCTCTGTTGTCATCTCAACATAGCAGCTTCACCAGAAGCAGATTCCTTCTCAAGAAACCACTTTTTTTGCTCATCCATAAGAAGTAACTCCTCATTCATTCATGTTTTATCATAAAGACTGCAGCAAATCAGTCACTTTTCAGGTTTCACTTTTAATTCTAGTTCTCTTACTATTTTCACCACATCTGCAGTGACTTCCTCCACTGAAGTCTTGAGCCCCTCAGAGTTATCCATGAGGCTTGGGATTAACTTCTTCCAAAATCTTGTTAATGTTGATATTTGGACCTCTTTCACAAATCACAAATGTTCCGAATGACATCTAGAATGGTGAATCCTTTCCAGAAGGTTTTCAGTTTACTTTTCCCAGATCCATCAAAGGAATCACTATGTAATGGCAGTTACAGCCTTATGAAATGCATTTCTTAAATAACAGGACATAAAAGTAGAAATCATTCCTTGATCCATGGGCTGCAGAAATGGATGCTGTGTCAGTAGGCATGAAAACAACATTCATCTCCTTGTACCTCTCCATCAGAGCTCTTGGATGACTAGATACATTGTCATTAAGCAGTAACATTTTGAAAGAATCTTTTTTTCCTGAGCAGTAGGTCTCAACAGTGGGCTTCAAATATTCAGTAAACCACGCTGTAAACAGATGTGCTGTCATGCAGACTTTTTTGTTCCATTTATAGAGCACAAGAAGAGTAGACTTAGCATAATTCTTAAGGGCCCTAGGATTTTTGGAACGGTAAAGCAGCACTGGCATCCACTTAAAATCACCAGCTGTCTTAGCCCATAACAAATGAGTCAACCTATCCTTTGAAGCTTTGAAGCCAGGCCATCGACTTCTCCTCTCTAGCTAAGAAGATTCTAGATGGCATCTTCTTCCAATAGAAGGCTGTTCTGTCTCCACTGAAAATCTGTTGGTTAGTGTAGCTATGTTCACCAATGATCTTAGCTAGAGGTCTTCTGGATAATTTGCTGCAGCTTCTATATCAGCACTTGCTGCTTCACCTTGCACTTGAATGGTATGGAAATGGCTTCCTTCCTTAAGCCTCATGAACCAACCTCTGCTAGCTACAAACTTTTCCTTGTAGCTTCCTCACCTCTCTCAGCCCTTACAGAACTGAGTGACATTAGGGCCTTGCTCTGGATTAGGCTTTGCCTTAAGAAAATACTGTGGCTGTTTTGATCTCTATTTACTTCTTTGTGTGTTCACTGGAGTAGCACTTTAAATTTCCTTTGACAACTTTTTCTTTGCATTCACAACTTGGCAAACTGTTTAGCACAATGGGCCTAGCTTTTGGCCTATCTCAGCTGTTGACACACTTTCCTCACTAAGCTCAATCATTCTAACTTTTGATTTAAAGGGAGAGTATGTGTGACTCTGCCTTTCACTTGAACACTTAGAGGCTCTTGTAGGGTTATTAAATGGCCTAATTTCAATATTGTTGTGTCTCAGGGAATAGGAAGATCCAAGAAGAGGGAGAGAGATGGGGATTGGCTGATTGGTGGAGCAGTTGGGACACACACATTGATCAATTAGTTCAATACAAACTTCCAAAACAATCACAATAGTAACATCAAAAAAATTACTGATCACAGATCACCATAATGGATGTAATAACAATGAAAAAGCTCTAAATATTGCAAGAATTACCAAATGTGGCACAGAGACACAAAATAAACATAAGCTGTTGGAAAAATGGCACCAAAGTAAGCATAGCCTGTTGGAAAAACAGGCTTAGTCAACACAGAGTTGACACGAACGTTTTATTTGTGTATATAAAAAAAAAAAAAAGCATTACCTGTGAAATGCAATAAAGTGAAGCTCAATAAAACAATGTATGTCCATACTTTAATTAATCTCAGGTAGTTGTAATACTATATTCACTTCAGATGTGTCTGAGGATAAGGCAACTTAGAAGAAAATGCCTAGCACATGGGCAGATAAATAGATGCACTGACCTTATTTATGTCTATTGTTATTTTATAACAGGAAAATAAGTTTAAAAATCATTGTTACAAATATGGAATCTGCTAGTTATCATAATTAATTACAATAGATTTTATAAATAAGTAGCCTACTGCTTTCAAATGAAAGAAATACAAACTTTTGATGAGCTTGGATTCTAGAACACTTGCTTTTGTTGCCCATCTCCTACTCATTTTCAATTCCATGTTTTCATCAATTCCTATTCTGTAACACATTCTTATACTCTTTCAAAAAATATTTTCTAACCCTTTCCTTATTTTCCTTTGTTTTTTATATCTCAATCTTCCTTTTACTGTTCTTTTCTTTACTTGCTTTCTGGAACACCTTTTCTATCTCATCACCTGCTTTTCTCGTGTCCAGATACTCTTACCCCCCGCCCCAAAATATTCAGTCTGTCTGAGTCTGCATATTGCTCACTGGCTGCCCCAAATATCCTGTTTCAACTCTCAATTAAACAGTTCCCCAGAGTTACTAAATCACTGCTTCTTCTGGCCTAGCCAACATGCTGCCACTCTTACTTATCTCCCTACAAAGCTACCATTCTCACATAATCTAGCCAAGTGGTAGAGGAATAGAATGTTCACATTAGCTCATACTAAAGTAAATGGATAATATCTTTACCACCCCCATCCTACCCTACACTCTCAGGAGGACAATGTTTACTAAATAACTTCAATTGGTAAAATTTCATACAAATTAGGTAAAAAACTGAGATTGGGGATGTGTGTGATAGAGTTAGGGGGAGACTCACCTTTAAACATACAAAACAATTGATTCCCTAATATATTCCAGTCTTGGAATAGGCAACAAATTAGTTCATAAGAAAATACTGATCCTTATTGGGCTTTCCTGATTCTACCTGTTTCCTAAGGTCTGATTCAGCTATGGCTGAATTTGAAATTCTAATGACAGGAAGAAATAGAAAGAAGGGGGTGTGCCAAAGGTTTATTCCAATTTCCAACATCTGAATGCAGATAATATTGTCAGTCATGGGGTCCTGGAACACTGAAGCTTCAGTGCTGGAAAAATGAGAGGTCTGATATTCTCCTGAGTTATGGATTTAGGCAATCAGAAAGATCTTAAAGTTGTCCATCTCATATCTGTTCATCTCTCTCCTTCCTCTATCTGAATATGGAAATACTGTGATTACATGAAAGTAATACTAATTACTGTTTATGGCTAATTACCTCATGGTACAGTAACAAACATCAAAATGCAGTTAGCTTTATTGTAAGCTTTACCTTAATAAAACACTATATTTTACTCAAGTGTTTAATCTTTATAGTTCTGTACATATAGCAGGTTTACTTTACTAATTAAAACAACAATAGTAATAACAACCAGAGGGAACATTAGAAATGCCCAATAAATACTGGTTGTATGAATTAATGAATATTATGTTTACTTAAAGTGGTACACGGCACTCAAACATTCACTGAGCACCTACTATATGTACTTTATTTTATTTGGGGGAAGTAGTGCTGCAGATGTCACTGACAATTTGTTATGAGGATGGAGGAGGGCTTTATGCTGCCTTTAGAAGAACCTCACTAATACCCCTCACCCTTCACCAGACCCACAATGTTTCTATCTCTAGATTTCCTTTAGCTATACAACCAAGTGGAAAATTGATTCTCCTTCTTCAACCCCTTGGATTACCCAGTTTTATTCTGGTCATCCATTAACTAACTAGTCATCCACATACTAACTAGTATGTGCTTTAAAGCTGCATCTGTACACAGTTACAGCTTCCTTAGAAAACAAGATCACCATTTGGAAACACTGCTCCAAAATTAGAATACAGAGTATCATATCAAATAGAATGGCATCATCAAGGCCAGGCATGGTGGCTCATGCCTGTAATCCCAGCACTTTGGGAGGCCAAGGCAGGCAGATCACCTGAGGTCAGGAGTTTAAAACCAGCCTGGCCAACATGGCGAAACCCCGTCTCTACTGAAAATACAAAAATTAGCCAGGTATGGTGGCAGGAGCCTGTAATCCCAGCTACTAAGGAGGCTGAGGCACAAGAATTGTTTGAATCTGGGAGGTGGAGGTTGCAGCGAGCCGGTATCATGCCACTGCACTCCAGCCTGAGTGACAGAGTGAGACTCCGTCTCAAAAAAAAAAAAAACAAAACAAACAAACAAACAAACAAAAAAACCAAAAAACAACAACAAAAAAACCCCACCTCTTCCCTGGACATCTGTGTCTTTATTGCATAGAAACACTGTTCAAAAACAGTAACAATAGCGATTTACAAAGACCGTGAGAAAGTACTACTTTGTGATCACAGCCCAGTTTCAGAATGGGTGCTAAGACAGAGCATTTGAACACTTTTTAACAAGGGGCCATACCTCAAAATGATAGCACTTTCAATAATATACTTAGTATGCGTAAGCACACTCTGTAACGTCTGCACAAGGATGAAAATTGCCTAATAATACATTTCTCAGAACATATCTGCATCATTAAGCAATACATGACTGTGTTTACAGGGTCCACTTTTTCACTGATACTCACAGAATCACATAAGCACTCTGATAACCACAGAGACCACACACTGTATCTATACACATTACATCCAAATACAAATGCATTCTCCAAACCCTCAAAAACATAAATGTTCAAGACACACATATTTATATCTAATGTGCTGGGCAAACATAAGATTTTAAAATACCAAAATAAAAGTCTTCTTTTTTTTTTTTTAAAAGAAACTTGGAACCAACCCAAATGTCCAACAATGATAGACTGGATTAAGAAAATGTGGCACATATACACCATGGAATACTATGCAGCCATAAAAAATGATGAGTTCATATCCTTTGTAGGGACATGGATGAAATTGGAAACCATCATTCTCAGTAAACTATCGCAAGAACAAAAAACCAAACACCGCATATTCTCACTCATAGGTGGGAATTGAACAATGAGATCACATGGACACAGGAAGGGGAATATCACACTCTGGGGACTGTGGTGGGGTCGGGGGAGGGGGGAGGGATAGCATTGGGAGATATACCTAATGCTAGATGACACATTAGTGGGTGCAGCACACCAGTATGGCACATGTATACATATGTAACTAACCTGCACAATGTGCACATGTACCCTAAAACTTAGAGTATAATAAAAAAAAAAAAAAAAAAAGAAAGATATGATACATATGAATAAAGGAAATATATTTCTTTCTTGGTCACATAAAACTCTACATCTCCCTTTTTTGTTTTCTAGCCTGAGTATGCTTACTAATCAATATATCAACTATTTCTTGTTTTTTTTTTTTTTTTTTTGTAATGAATTGTACACTTTTTATGCTCAGTGTAATAAGAAAGTCACATCAGCAGAGGCGGTGTGACTGAATGAATGAATCACTTAGGTCTTAATCAAGGAGAAAAGAAAACTGAACACAGAAATAGTGAAGAAATAGTGACTATCCCAAGGTCTCCCAGAAACCACAATGCACAAAGTTCGTTTCCCTTTCAGTATTATCTCAGCAGCAGCAATGGTGCCAGTCTCAGAGGGGATGGAAATTTCCTTGTGTCTATTGTTTAAGTTCTTAGAAAGGGTTTATAGGGCTCTACTTTTCCTCCTGTTTGGAAGACAACTGAATTTACACAAATATAGCCAATTCATTCCAGGTTTAAAAAAACTTGATACAAACTCTTTGGAAGCAAGAAATGCTACTATTTTGTTTCAGATCCAAACCTAAAAGTTAAATTGTACATTTGTCCAATTAGTGATAAACTTCACTCACTGAACTCTCTGTAACTTCTCATGTGCCAACATTATATTCTGCTAAAAATTAAAGAAGCTATGTCTATTGGAAAACTTTTACGTGCTACTCTTCTGTTCAAAACCATGTAAGTAGTGGCCAGTAAGTTAGAAAGGATGCTCTTTTCACCTACCTAAGTACTTAATATGTCCGTTTTTGTCCTCCACAGATTTTAATTAATAGAATGTCATTTCACACCCAGGGTGTAGCTTTCCTAGAACTGGTGAAGAGGCTAAGTGTTTGGAGTTACCTTGAGTGGTGAAGTTGAAGAGTGCAGGTGTGTCTCGCCCATTTGGTAGTTTGACATTTGGGTCCCGTAATTCATCAAAAAATGAATGTGCACAAGCTTCCAGTGGTGTTAGTCGGGCAGTTGGTGTATACTCCAGCAGACGGCTACACAGTGCAATTGCCTCCGGTGGAGTTCGGGGTCGGAAGACCTGCAGTACAAAAAAAGGGAAAGAACAATTAATGTTTTATTTTAAGAATCTAAGCAAATACCCTGTGAATAATGACTTAATTCCCACCATGTACAGAAACATGGTTGCATTTGGGAAAGGACCTTCTAGAATGGAAAGAGTTAAATGCATATGATTCACAGGGGTGAATTGCTAATTAAAGATTATATGAGAAATGCTCAGAGAAAAATCTATATATGCTAATCATAAAGTAATAACAATCAGACATGCATACAAAATATGACAGGCACATGGGAAAGGCTGAGTTCTGGTGGCAAGCACAACTAGAAAAATATTTTTTAAATTTTAAAGTTTTCACTGCTATGGCAGTAAATAAAAGATTGCCTCTTTTGCATTGTTTTTTTAGCCGAACAATTGTTAATGATGAGCAGCACTGTTCGAAAACTTGGCAATCAAACAGAAGAGAAAGAAGAGCTATTTACTCTAGGTCTATAAATGCTACTGATTTGGTATTATTTCCAATAAACAGAGCCTACCATTATTTGAAGAAATTCTTGAATACCTAGAATTTGATAAAATGTCCTGCATTTTTTTTCTCAAGTAGGTGTTACCATGAATGTGGCCAGATTTCCCCCACTTGAATGAATATTCCAGGGTTTTAATCAAGGAGAAAAAAATGTATTATTCATTAAGAATGATTAAGACAAAGAAAAAGTCAACTGAAGGCTATATTGAAGAAAAATTCAATTAAATTAATCTACTTAAAGGAATAGATAGCTTTCTACTAATTTGTGTCTTAAATAAAGCTAATAAATACAAAAACTATAAAAATATTCTTCATTCTAAATTATGGCCACCTACAGAATAAAAATAAAAAGGTAAGGATAGAAATAAACAGACGAGAAGCCTTTGAAATTAAAGAAAAATGAAACATATATCCCTCGACAGGAAGAACATACAACGAAATAAAAGGTGTGACGATGGAGGTGGGCAGAGAAGTAGACACTTATAAATGGAGGGAAACGGACCCACAAGTGAGAAAAGCCCACGCAGATTGTGACAGGGCATGGAGCAGCCTGGAAGGCTAAGGTTTCCTCGTAAGAATGGCTCATGTAACATTTGGTTGTTCACTTATGCTGACAGTTAGTAGAACTAGTTACAACTACAGAGCTCATTAGACTTTCCAGAGATTATTTATGAGTGCTGTCTACAGTGAAAAGAGGATTGTATTTGTTTTTAATTTATTATTGAAAAAGACATTTTCCATGAAAATTGAGAAATTAGGTAAAGTAGGCTCTTAGGAAATTATTTCGGAACATAAAGAAAGGCCTTAGTCAATTTCTTGGTTATGTTACAAAGAAACCTTTTTGTAAGGTCAAAACCTGCCTTATCTTTATTCTTTTGAATACTCTGACTCGCCTCAGTCAAGGAAACCTTAGAGTTACTGTCGAATTTGAAATGTTTAGCTCTTCCACTGTTACTGGTCCCCTCTCTTGCTCCCAAGGTCCATAATCATATACAGAATGTAAAAAGAAAATAATCAGTGGGAAAACTCAGAAAATTTTCGTAAAAATATTAAACAGTATTGGCATATTTTATCCCTGAAGGCAAGTTTGCTTCTGTTTGATAGTATATGGATTTATTTTGCTAGCTAATCCAAAATGTTTTTGCACCAATATGGCAGCACATAAGTGGAATTAAAAGTAGCACCAAAAGTAGAAATAAATATCTCCCACTAACATTCAAATGTAGGATGGCTGGATGCTGAGTTATTTTAAATAAAAAAATTTCTTATTTTCAAAGATTTTGTGTTAAAGCTATTAATAAACCAGTATTATAAGCTTATTTCCGATATATATATATATATATATATATATATATATTTTTTTTTTTTTTTTTTTTTTTGAGATGGAGTCTTCCTGTCACCCAGGCTGGAATGCAGTGGCCCGATCTTGGCTCACTGCAAGCTCTGCCTCCCGGGTTCATGCCATTCTCCTGCCTCAGCCTCCCGAGTAGCTGGGACTACAGGCGCCCGCCACCACACCCAGCTAATTTTTTGTATTTTTAGTAGAGATGGGGTTTCACCGTGTTAGCCAGGATGGTCTCCATCTCCTGACCTCATGATCCGCCCGCCTCGGCCTCCCAAAGTGCTGGGATTACAGGCGTGAGCCACCGTGCCCGGCCTATTTCCAGTAATTTTTTAAGTCACCCATATCTTTTGGTGTTTTACTGCCTACAAGTGATCATCCATATCGGTACTAAGACATTTATTAGCGTATATTTGTCAGGGAATCCTAACTCATAAAGTTCAAGAGTTAAAAACAATGAAGAAAATAATACATGTCAAAAGCCTACATTAAAATCAAGATTTAACCTGCCTTTACAAAAACTATACACTGTCATTTTAAACCCTTGAGAGATTCTTGATGAGAAAAGCCTAGGTTCAGTACTCTGTGAATAAAGGTTAAGTGGAAAATTACGTGGGGTCAAAACCCAGTATCTCCCACAGTTCAGATTTCTGACCATAATACAGGGTGAGTTAGCATGTAACTTCTAAAAATTATAGGGCAAACTAGAAACTAGCTCATCTGAATTATTTTTGCTTCTAAAGAAAAGGAAACCACCAAGAACTGAAATTTGTCTTTTAATTAAAGAAGCTTCCGCTGTCACTTCTTTCCTTACTCACTGAAATTGCTTAACACTCAGACCTTTGGTTTCATGGATCTTCATCAATATTTATTCTTGTAATAGAAATAATAATTTTAAAACCCCACAATTCCTAAACTTCAGCCTAGATGTCAATGAATCACCCAAGAGGCTGACAATCTAAATATACTATAAGTGAAACCTATGCCATACAGTGAATAAAAACAGAAATCACAGCTACTTACATTGTTTACTATTACATTTCAAGAATGAGTAATTATTTAGCCTCTCAAAGAAGATTTCCCCCAAGTTTTATAGACCTGCCCTGAAATTTTGGGAAAAAAAAATTAAGTACATACCCGCACTCCTGAGGTGAAATGTCCTGTTCCTGACGAATCCTAAAGATGATAATGCAGTGAAATAATCCAAACAGGGGAAGTCAATCCAAAAGAGAATAGTCCAGCAAGGAAAAATATATCCAATGTTATAAGAAATCCATGGTGTGGGGGGGGACATAGAAAATGTTTATACAGTTATAAACTTTAAACATCAGTCTTCACAGTAGCAAGTCCAAGTTTTAAAAATTATTTCACCACAGTGTATGCAAAAAAATTTTTTTTGATTGTGCAATGGTGAGGCACAGTAAAGAAACATTTTAATTTTAGTTTATTATGTTCCAATGCCAGTGCGTTTATTAAAAAAATACAAAACCAAAAAAAGTTAAAATCAAAATGAAATCTAGAAGTAAAGTTCCCAAAGTAAAATGGTCTTCTATGACCTGGATTCATCATCCACAGACATGGCTGGGAGGGGGCATATTAGCCTGCTTTTAAAGTTTCAAGTTCCCAATATGCTACTTTTTTCTCTATTAATGTGTTCCAGTTACACAGTATAAACATTTTTTTGCTAAGTTATTAGTGATGAGAGGAAAGTAATAAATATATTTAAGTTATATTACTATAGATTTCAAGCCAGATACTTTCAATTTGTGTGAGCTAAGAAGGATCAGGCCACCGCGGATTATTCTCCATTTTGGATTGACTTCTCTGCTAAAAGATGTTTCTTTGCTGACATTCTCATTATCTTAGGACTCATCAGGAAATTGACATATCACCTCAGGAGTGCGGGTATTAACTTACTTTTTCTATTGTGGGCTTTGCCCGCTCATACCCTTGCACCCGGTACTTAGGAAAAATAAATAGAGAACATTTTTTCCTCTTTGGAAAAACTCTCTGAAAAAATAAATCCTACATCTTCCAGCACTACAAATTAAACACAGTTCCATCTGCAAATATGCCCAATTCACCCACCAAAAGCTAAACAAAATATATAAAATTAACAATACAACTAAGGGACAGTCACAGTTACAGGTGACAGGCATAGTAATGTATACCAACACCTAGGCACAACGGAGCCAAATATGCAAGGGAGGTAGCAGGGTCTATTATGTCTAGGTATTGAGAACAAAAAATGGCAGAACTCACCAGTATCTGTGAACTCCCCTGGCTATTCTAAGAGAATTTAACATTCTTTTAGGATAGTTTCCAGTGGGGGAATTAAATATTTTTCAAAAATAAATAATCCGCGGATTACTTTTAGTCTGCAGACTAAAATTTAGTACACAGATTAAAATCTGGCCCATCAGAATAAATTCTCTCATGAACTAAAACACAACCAGGTGGACAAAAATAGAAAACCAGACTGAAAGAACTGAGAGCACAAAATAAGACTCAACTGGGCCAACTAACAATTAGTACGCAGACTAAATATGGCCAGCGAAGTATGCAGCAAGGCCACAGAGATCCCAAAACACCCCTTTAAAAACAAAACCAAAAGTAAATAAATAAAACAGAACAAAATAAAACAAAGCAAAAAATAAGAAGAAGAAGAAAGAAAAGAAAAAGAGGAAGGAAAAAAGAAAGAAAAGAGAAAGGAAATACTGAAAAGAACCAAAACACTGACATGAACTTTTAAAGTGATTCAAATACTACCTCACCTATGCAGCAACTCATTTTCTTAAATTGAAACAAATATCAACTCCCATCACAAATACTAGCCCATAGAAGAAACTAACAGAAAAAAATCATTTTTTCAAAAAGAAAGTTTCTGCAGTATTGAACAAATGCAAAGAAGTCCTTAAATGAAGAATTATTCAAAATAAATTTGCATTTGGGTAACTAAAAAATGACAGAGGCAATTTCTGCCCTACATGTCCTAGAATAGACTTTGTCCTTCAAATTTCAACCTGGAGCTAAGTGTTGTGACTGAATCTCAAGCACTTTAAAAAGGCCATTTTTAAACAATCACATACACCATACTAAGACCTATGGTTAACATGGATCTCACAGCATCAGCTCTTAGCAACTCTATTGTATTATGTAGCCAATCAGAGCAATGTAAAAATGTCCATTTTAAATGGCTGTTGGCAGTGATAATTAATCTAACAGAACACAGAACAAGAGCCATGTCTGTTCCAAATAGCTATTCCTCATTAGTTTTTATTACTATAAATGTACAACACTCATCCTATATCCTGGTCATATACAAAATATAAGCATCCAGTTTTAAAAACTAATAAACCATGAATACTCCTAAAGAGCAACTCCAATATTGACTCTCAAGTAATCTATTAATCATCTGAAATTATATGCAATTTGTAAACCTAAACATAGGATTAAAAGTGAGACAATGCCATGGATTGTTGAATAGGTAATTATGTTAACTAAGAAAGAAATCAAGTCTACTTAAGTGCTCATATGTAGCACATAATTCAATAATTACTTAACAAATTAGTCTATACTATTTTTTAAAATATTCTCCCTATCTTTACTAAAAATACAAAAATTAGCCAGGTGTAGTGGTGGGTGCCTGTAATCCCAGCTACTCGGGAGGCTGAGGCAGGAGAATTGCTTGAACCCGGGAGGTGGAGGCTGCAGTGAGCCGAGGTCGTGCCACTGCACTCCAGCCTGGGCAACAGATCAAGATTCCATCTCAAAAAAAAAAAAAAAAAAAAAAACATATATTCTTTGGCAGTCTTTCACATGCTTTGCTACATTGATCTAATGATGCACTGACATACAAGGTAATCCAATTCACTTTAAGTACTATCAAAAATGATTACCAGAGGCTACTGAAAACAACTTTCAGAGTCCTCCTCCCAAGTAAAATTGCTATCTATGAAGTTGGCATCTAACAGGGTAGGATACACAAACTGAATTCAGCTCAAGTCTACTGCATAATTTTCTAAGCCTTTTCGTTAAGATACCAGTTCAGGTAAAGAAGGTTGAGCATAAGAAACACAAAGAATCCTTTCCTTAGCCATGACAAATCTAACATCCAGTGAATTTCAGCTGTACTAATTAAAAGCCTTATCGAGTTTTCCCAAGTTCTACTATAGGTAAGAAAAGTTATACAGTAAATCTTCATTTAATGTCATTGATAGGTTCTTGAAAACTGTGACTTTTAGTGAAACGTATAATAAAACCAAATGTTTTCCCTCATCAACGCTGAATGAACCAACATTATTTGAGGACCTATTGTGCATAACTTCACTTAAAGTTGCAGTTTCTAAGCACCTACTAACGATGTTAAATGACTGGCTGTATATATGTAGATATCAGCATTTAACTATGTAACATAATTTCTCTCCCTCACATCATGTGCTGATGAAATAGTACTACATGCCTACACAGGAGTGGGATTTGCCAAATGTCCGCTTATCCAATTTAATCTTTCATTGTTCACAAAACAATTATTACAGTCAGGTTGGCTCTCCTATGAATATAGAAATATTTTCTTTTCATTCAGCTCTCTCCACCTTGAGAGATATTCACCCAGGCTATAACAATTCCTAACCTTTTCTACACCTAGGCAAATCTTAAACCTCCCCTTCAACATCCCACCTCATGTATTATCCCTAAGTGGGGGTTCCTTTTTCCCTCCACCATCCTCACTGGAAGTCTGCCTTGTAACACCTACAGCCATGTGGAACACCTCTGAACACTTACAGCACAGAATTAAGTATACGGTTACATAGTATCTCACATTATTCAATACTTGCTTCAACTAAGCTTTTCAACTGTCAGCTTTTCAAGGACAAAGACTATATATTTTACTTCTTTTGCATGCTTTATGGTACCCAGCACAGCACTGGTTACATAGAAGATACAAGATTTAAAGAATAAATGATAAATTAAAAATAGAATTTTGTCTTCTTTTCAAATCCACCCCAACCTCATCCTTTGCCTCCCACAAGCAATCTGAAAATTATGTCTTACTTAGTATTCTTCCTTTTTCACATTATTCCTTTCACATTTGGATTAGCCACCCTAAAAGCTGGATTTTAATGTGGGTTTCCAGCAAACAAATAAAAATATATAGCCAGTAGAAATAAAAAAGTGAGGTCTACTAACATAGGAAAGTGGCTTTAGAAAGGGAGAGGAAGTGATTATTATAGCAATAATAAGGATGTGGGTAGAACTTTCAGTAGAGAACATACTATATGTATTTGTGAGGCAAGTGAGAATGGTCTAGGTAGAATGTTCAGGGCAGAGGGGGGTTGAATAATAATATAAAAATTGATTTACCATAAGCAATAGAACAAAACAGACAAGTGGCAAGCTTAGGAGCCAATAGAAATCCCCAACATGGTTTTATGCTTTCTGGAATACATGTGAATGAAATGAGTAATGCAGAGAGACCAGAAAAGGTAGATAGAATGGATGTGAAAGAAAACTTTGGCAGCAATTTTTGTTTTGTGCCCTCTAGGCCTCTCTGAAGGCATTTTAATAATACATTGAACAACGGTTAAAACAGGTAGGTTTACCAAGTTCTGAAAATTCTATTGAATGGCTCAGGGGAAAAACTGTAGCATTATGGACAAAGTCTTAAAAAGAAATAAGTACAGTGGGGCTTTTTGGTTCAGCTGTAAGCATAGAGAATAAGTAACTTTTTCAGTCAAAAATAATTCCTTTGAAAGCTGAAATGACCTGAGAATTCAATTTTCTGCTTACTCTGTTAGCCAGTTAGAAACACTAGTATTGATTCACTATGAAGCATATTGACAGTGTTTTAGGAAATCAAGTATGCAAGGATTAATTTTTGTGAATAATGCTTTCTGGGAGACTTACCAAATGACCTATGGTCATACAAAAGCTACAGACACTTTACTATTAAGTATTAAACTACCATATATGCCAACAACTTGGCAACAAATATTTTGAAGTAATTGGCATTCATATTAATACTATTATTATAAAAAAGCAATGAGGAATTGCTATAATATATATGGTATAATTTGGTAGGTACTATAGGAGTTATGTGGTAGGATAATCATAAAGAACTTAGACAATGAGAAAATATTTCATGGGAGAAGTGAGATTTGAGAACTTAAGAAAGGTTAAGAGTTGGTAAGCAGAGAAGAAAAAAAGAACATTCTAAGACAGTGGAAGGGGGAGTAGAGAGAGGGAAGGGAGACACTAGCAAGAGGCAGAAATGAATGTGGCTTCTCTGGGGAACAACTAGGAGACAATCTGACTAAACCAGAAAATCCAGCATGGCTGCATGGTCCCTTCAAAGTGAGCTACAAACTGGACAACACTCCAATACGTAGCCAACATATTAAATAGCACTAATGTAACTGTTAAGAGATCAGCAGGCCTTAGGATTGTAATCTACTTCCTTCTACTAACCAGTTATTACTTTATTCTTTTGTTACTCTGAAAGAATAAAACAGACATCTGTGTTACCTAACTGACCTCACAGGATTGTTTATTACTAGGATAGAGGAGAAATGCTTGTCATAAAGAAATTTAAACAAGGTAGCAGGATCAGGCACTCGAAAGTGGGCGGGAAGGCACCTCATACACCTACTATGATATAACCTTATTAAAAATCCCTAATCAACCCTAACTAGACACTAAACTTTCAAATTCATTGCCTAACAACATGCATTTAAGGATACAGGAAGCTGTAAAACTTGGGAAAGAGCCTGGGTTCAAGAACTAGATACCTCAAGAAGGTTGGGAATAGGACAAATACTAAATACTCTATTTTTCTGGAAAAGAAAGGCAGAAAAGATCAAGAACAGAGTGACTAAATAATCTGCCACCCAAATTGGGACCTTCCTGAGAGTGAAGAGGCAAGCAATTAATAATTACACTGGACAAGCAAAAACTGGCACATAAGATCACCCTTGTCATTATATGTATTTAACGCTAAATTTTCCTAAAGGCTATGAGGAATCAGAGAAGAATTTTAAATAGGAGTGACAGCATCACATGTGCTTTTTAAAAAAGCCAACTTTGACAGAAATGAGGAGGATGGATTAAAATGATGTGAAACCAAAGGATGGAAATCAGGAGGTAGGAGGTTGTTTTTAATAATTCTATGATATGATGGTGGCCTAAACTAAGGTCAGGGCAGTGGAGACAGAGAAGACAAATCAGAAAACTCCATTGGAGTGCTACATCCTTCACATTTATTCAAAACTAAAGTAATCCTTTATATGTATATTATGGCTGTATTTTCAAAATAATCCTGAGAAAAGACACAGCAGATAATCGCTATCTTACAAAAGAAAAAAGCTGAGGCATAAACATTAGGAGCAGTGTTTAAACTAGATTCTCACTCTGTATATAATAGCCCATCATTTAACCACACCTGCACATACTAAATGCAGAATTTAAATTTCTTCTCTTCTTCCAACCAATCTCTGTCTCTGCTTAATTCTCAATCTACTATTGCATCACTTCCTTTTCTTTCCATGTGTTTTTCTTCTTTGCAGTGTACAGCGTACACCAAGGCATAGGTCTTCATCCCCTCACCTCCAATAATAATCCTTGTTTCAGAATATTAGCACCTATTTCCTTTCCTACTAAAGCCACAAGTGCTTTATTAATGAATTATGTTGCACTGGCTATTGCTATTTATGTAATAGCCCAGGGCAACTTATTGGAGTTTTTAATTCTCAAGATTTCTGCCATACACCACACTGGGATCATCTCAGTGTTATTTTTCTGCTATTTCTTTTACACACCTGTATCCCCTTACCTCAATGTTTCCACAAAAGACATTTTCTCTTTTGGTCTTTATTTCTGTCTACTTTTTTTTTTTTTAGAACACCAGGTCCCAATCTTGGGGATATAGCTGCACAACACTGCAGCACAGGAAACCAGGGTTCACATGTCCACAGCTTCAGGAGATAGGACTAACAGAAGACAGCAACAAAGGTAAAGTGGTTCCTGTTTCCAGACTCCTGTTTACCTGCCCTCCAAGGGCAAAATGGTCTTCTCTTTGGAGGACATTCTATATGGTTTTTAAATGACTCAATTGGCTGCTTACCCTAAGAGCATTTCTCAAGTTGCTGTCCACTATCACAGTGGTAGGGAAAGGAGTCTGAGTTCCCTCTAGGAATTTTAAGTTTTGCATTTTAATTCTTATAATAACCTATTTAAAAAAACCAACACAAGCATATTCTCAATCATCTAGATGACAGAGAAAAACAATAAAATTTCTGCATCTGAATTTACTTTTTTGTTTACAATCCCAGTAACACCCACTCTAGTATGCACAAATGAGGAACCAACATAAGTGCACTTATTACATAATGCATGTGTATGAAGTGAAAACCAAATTATGTCAAAAAACACCAGACGAATGAAAGGTTCACAGTCCTTTTAATAGACAAAAAAGATGGGAGAACTGAGTCATTATTCTACACATGGTACAGGAATGGAAACCTAAATAAATGTGCTTTACATAGACGATTCAAGTTTGAAAAGCATTAGTATAAGATATAAAAACATCAAGAATTGAAGAGGGCAAAGGAAGATTTACAGCATACATATTTAGTACAGCTCTTTCATTAGCTGCATTTTAATTATAATCAACCATTCCTCACATTCTACTCTAGCTAATACTTGCGTTAGAGAGATATAATTCAGGGGGAAAATGCAGAATTTGACACACACTAAATACAGTGTCCCCTCCCTTTTATCTACAGGGGATATGTCCCCAAGACCCTCATGTGGATGCTGAGACTGCAAGTAGTACTAAACCCTACATATACTGTTTTTCTCTATACATACAGTGATAAAAGCTTACTTCATAAATTAGGCACAGTAAGAGGTTAACAACAATAACTAATAATAAAATAGAATAATTAGAATAATATCTATAATAAAATAATGTGAATGTAGTATCTCTCTTAAAATATCTTATTGTACTACATCACCGATTTCAGACAGAGGCTGACCAAATGTAACTGAAACCTTAGATAAAGGAGGACTAGTGGCAGTCTTGATAAAATAATAATAATAATAATGGAGGATGGGGACTGTTAAATAGGATCTCATGGACTCAATTTCAGCTTTATATTTGTCAGAAACTCTATAAGGAGGATAATATGTGATGAATACTTAGATTACACCAAAAAAAGAATTTTTCCCTTTCCTCATAAAAATAACATTATTATTAAAGAAAATATGAAAGTTTGAAAAGGTAGAACAAAGAAAATAAAATCATGCACTTTCTTCTTACCCAAACTACTGTTGGCATTTTGGAATATTTCCCTGTATTTATTTAATACACAGAATTCTCTTTGTTGTTTTTCTCTTAACATGGCTGAAGTCATAGTATACTACAAATCACTTACTATAAACAATTTAACTTGCAATAACTATAATGGACTCAAACTGTAATGCAGCCTCTAAATCCAAGTAGGCCACCTGAGATCTTCTGGGTTTAGAGCCAGGTGAGAGTCCCTAAATATCTTCTGACCCAGATTTAAAATAAGCCTTGAATACAAAGATCAAAGAACACTTTTGAATCTCAGACTACTTAGTGCTTACCATAAACTTTTAAAAAAGGGAGGCAAGATCGTGGTCTGTTGGCCAGGTTGTAGTAAAAGTTACAACCTATAATTCTGGCACTAAAATACTATTGAGGTCTTTGATTCTAAATAGGAAATAAATAATTAGTAACGAGAATTTTCTGAAGATAGATAATGAGATTATAAGAACTTGAAGAAAAAGTAACTGGAATCATAATATATCTGATTAAGAGAGAGAGAGAGAAAGAAACATACTTTGATTCTACAGAGGGTAAATTATTTCACCTATAGCCCTAAATGACTTCACCTCGAATTATAAAAGATCTATAACTAAATGAATTTAATTGTATATAAAATGAATTGTTATATGTACATTTTAAAATACAGTAAGTCTCTCCTTAAAATACGTATTATAAAGTCGATCATTGGTAACCCGTGACACACACACACACACACACACACACACACACACACACACACACACACAGAAGTTTAATCCCGGCTTTGTCACAAGCCATCCATGTAATCTTGGGTAAGTCACTTTGAATCTTTGGTCAGAGTTTCTGAACTTGTAAAATGAAGAAGCTAGAGATTCACTCTACTTATAAACCCTACTGAGAAATTCTATTTTTTTTCTGTTCATACTTAATCTCACAAATCAAACTAAGGTGAAAACACTTTTTAATAAAATCTCTTTTAAAATCATTCCAATTAAATACCAAAGGAAAAAAAAAAGTTCCCTGGTACATTAGCAACTATGCTGTTTAGAACTGGTTCTATCTAATGTTAAGGTTGGGTTTTTCCAAAGGCTAGTGACATCCAGTTAACATATCAATTGTTTTTAATGTATACTCCCAGCAAGATTACATTTGCTTTCTAATCTTGTTTCCAAAATGCCAGTAGGAAAGTAAACAAGAGAGGAAAAACACAAAATGCCATCTATAATAAGATATATGTTTTAACAGTTTAAAAGAATAAAGAAAATGTTTGAAATGTATGATATGCTATATGATATTAAACTATACACCTCTATGTAAATAAACTTCTGAATTTTAGGTTGTCAAAATTTTATATAAGATCCTACTCCTAAATCAAATTCTGTACTTTAATGATATAAGTACACTGCCCTTACCTTGCAAATAAAAAACCAGGCTAGAAACTATCTACAGGAAATCAATGAGGATGAAACTATATAAAGTCAATGAAACACTCAAGTACATCTATACAACTATCTTTACATGCAGAACTGCTTGTATTCATGCAACTATCTGATCTCAAAATAGTTTAAGAACAATGAGAAACCTGTTTTAGTTAACTACTGATTAATATACTTAAAAAAAAATCTAACTCACCTTAGTCCAAGGATGTGCCTTAATTTGAGGGAATTTAAATTCTGTGTAGTTTGGGTTCATTTCTCTGATTTGCTCCCTTGTTGGAGTTCCCAGGACCTAGAAAGAAAGCAAGTTATTGCCATCTTTTCCTATATATTTACAAATTTAGTCTCCATGTTTTCAGGCATTGGATTCACTGAAAAAAGGAATTCCCAAGTTAAATAAAATACGTAACTCATTAAATAGAGCAGTGCCATGATTTGAATATGTCCCCCAAAGCTCATGTGTTGGAAACTTAATACCCAATTCAACAGTGTTGAGAGGTGGGATGTTTAAATGGTAATTAGGTAATGGCTCTGCCCTTGTGAATGGACTCATGTCATTAAAGTGGAAGCAGGATTGTTATTTCAAGAGCAGGCTGGTTAGAAATGTAAGTTTGGCTCCCTCTCACTCTTGCCTTGTCTTGACTTTCTGCCTTCCAATATGAGATGATACAGCACGAAGGCCATCACCAGATGTGGGCCCTTTGACATTGGACTTTCCAGTCTCTAGAACAGTGAACCAAGTAAATTTCTATTGTTTATATATTATCCAGTCTTTGGTATTCTGTTATAGTAGCACAAAACAGACAAAGGCAAACAAACTTTGTGAAAGCCTTTTATCTGTAGCTGACTACAGATTCCATGCTGTATTACCATAGACAGACTTCTATGATAACAATAATGTTAAATTTGGGTCATAAAAAAGATTACCATACTCAAAAATATTCAAGTAAAAATCAGATATCTTTATCTAGAAAAACTATCTATTGCAATAATCACATCTGAGAGTATTTTTTCTTCACTTAGTTCAGTATAGCCAAAGATTATACAGCTGTCCCTTGGTATTCAGATTGTTTCAGGAGCCCCCGAGGATACCAAAATCAAGAGATGTTCGAGTCCCTTATATAAAATGGCATAATAGTTGCATATAACCTTACATCCTCCTATACTTTAAATCATCTTTAGGTTATTATAATACTTAACATAAATGCTATATAAATAGTTGTATTGTTTTTAAGTTGTATATTATTCTTCATTAATGTATTTTTAAATTGTTATTTTCTGAATATTTTTGATCTGCAGTCGGTTGATTCTGCAGATGCGGAACCTGTAGATATGGAGGGCCAATTGTATTATCGATATATCAGGCAAAGTTTATTTTAAAACCGTCAACAATTCATTCAGTCGTTGAATAGTGTCCCTTGTATACAAGGAACTATGTTAGGACCTTTGGAGGATACAAAGAACAAGAGATTTCCTGCTACCATAAACTTACATATTTGTATGTCAAAAAAGTATAATTACAGTACACAACAAAAATGTATTGAGCACTTCATTGTCTCTAGAGCTATACTAGGTACTGAACAAAAGAAAGTACATGGACCTGGCTGTACAAGATGGATGACAGGAAGAAACATTAAATGCTAAAAATTGAGGACTTTGAAGAGAAATACCACATATTACTCATCTTTATAAGACCGTGTATAAATCAAATTTATTGAAATAAAATATTAAACCAGTTACAGTTCAAGAATAACTGCACAGAAGTAGAAGAATGTAATGGTAAGTACTAGATTTGTGGTGGCAACCAGTGAATAATCAGGCATAATTCTGTAACCATTCAGGGCAAAGTGAGAATTTGTTATGTTTTTGTTGTTGGTTCTAATTCTCTAGACACTGCTAAAACTTTCAGAACTTCATTCAAATTTTAAAAAGTTTGTTCTTTAAAAGACACTCTTAAGAAAATGAAAAGGCTAGTCACGAACTTTGCAGAATATATTTGCAAAATATATTCTGCAAAGGGCTTGTATTTACAATATATAAAGAACTCTTATAATTCAAAAATAAGACAAACCAATACAAATCAGTAAAAGATATGTACAGACACTTCACCAAGGATGACAGAGAGATGGCAAATAAGCACAAGAAAAGATGCTTGGCATCATTAATCATTAGGGAAATGCTAATTAAAACAAGATACCACCATATACCCAATAAGAAGGCTAAAATTAAAGACTATGTATAACAAATCTTGGCAAGGATGTACAGCAACTGAAGCTCTCACCATTGATGGTGGAAATGTGAAATGGTATATAGCACCTTGGAAAACAGTTTGGAAGTTTCTTAAAAGTTAAACATATACATATCATACAACCCATCATTCTCACTCCTAGGTACATACCCAAGAGAAATGAATGCACATGTTCATACAAAGACTTGTATACAAATATGCATAGCATATTTTTTTTAACTGCTAAACAGTAGAAACAAACCAAAATGGCATCATCAAGTAAATAAATGGTACATAGCCATACAGTAAAACATTACTCAGTAATTTAAAAAGAACAACATGGATGAATCTAAAAATAATTAAGCTGAGTGAGAGAAGCCAGACCAAAAAGAGTACCTAAAGTATAATCACATTCATATGGAATTCTAGTAAATTTTCTATCTATAGTGACAGAAGATCTATAGTTTTGAGAAGCAAGATTACAAAGGGACACTAGGAAACTACTGGGATTATGAATGTTCATTATCTTGGTTTCACGGGTGTAAGCGTATGGAAAAACTTATCAAGTTGAATACTTTAAATATGTGCAGTTTTAAAAAATATTTATTTTTGTGGCTACATAGTAGGTGTATGTATCTGTGGAATATATGAGACACTCTGATATAGGCATACAATGTGTAATAATCACATCAGGGTAAATGTGGTATCCATCACCTCAAGCATTTGTCCTTTGTTTATTTATATTTATTTATTTAGAGACGGAGTCTCACACTGTTGCCCAGGCTGGAGTGCAGTGGCGTGATCTCAGCTCACTGCAAGCTCCGGCTCCTGGGCTCACACCATTCTCCTGCCTCAGCCTCCCGAGTAGCTGGGACTACAGGTGCCCACCACCACGCCTGGCTAATTTTTTCTATTTTTTAGTAGAGATGGGGTTTCACAGTGGTAGCCAGGATGGTCTTGATCTCCTGACCTCGTGATTTACCCACTTCAGCCTCCCAAAGTGTTGGGATTACAGGTGTGAGCCATTGCGCACAGCCTATCTTTTGTTTTATAAACAATCCAATTATACTCTTTTAGGTATTTTTCGATATTTAATTAAATTATTATTGAGTATAGTCACCCTGTTGTGCTATGAAATACTAGATATTATTCATTCTTTCTATTGTTTTGTACCCATTAACCATCCCTACTTCCCCAGCAACTGCCCTTCCCAGCCTCTGCTAACCATCATTCTACTCCCTATCTCCATGAGTTCAATTGTTTTAATTTTTAGCTCTCACAAATAACTGAGAATATGCGAAGTTTGTCTGTGTCTGGCTTAACACAACGACTTCCGGTGCCATCTATGTTGTTGCATATAACAGGATCTCATTCTTTATGAGTATATATATCACATTTTCTTTATCCATTCATGAAGTGTCCATGCTGATGAACACTTAGGTTGCTTCCAAATCTTGGCTATTGTGAAGAGTGCTGCAATAAACATAGGAGTGCAGATACCTGTTCAATATACTGATTTCCTTTCTTTTGGGTATATACCTAGCAGTGTGATTGCTAGATGGTAGGCAGCTCTATTTTTAGTTTTTTTAGGAGCCTCCAAACTGTTCTCCATGGAAGCAGTACTAACTTACATCGCCACCAGCAACATAACAAGGATTCTGTTTTCTCCACATCCTTGTCAGCATTTGATACTGCCTGTCATTTAGATAAAAGCCATTTTATCTGGGGTGAGATGATATCTCATTGTAGTTTTGATTTGCATTTCTCTGATGATCAATGATGTTGAGCACCTCTCATATACCTGTTTGCCATCTGTATGTATCCTTTTGAATAATGTCTATTCAGATCTTTTGTCCATTTCAAAATCAGATTATTAGATATTTTTCCTATAAAGTTGTTGGAGCTTCTTATATATTCTGGTTATTAAGCTCTTGTCAAATATTTTCTCCCATTTTGTGAATTGTCTCTTCAGTCTGTTAACTGTTTCCTTTGCTGTGCAGAAGCTTTTTATCTTGATGTGGTCCCTATGTGTAGTTTCTTGTATGCCAATTACCCCTGTAATAAAAACTTTCAGAAATTATTTAACTATTAGAATACATAAAGTTTGGGTAAGATAGATGGAAGGATATTCTGAGCTACAGAATTATTCACTGATATAAATCAAAAAGGAATCTAGTTAAAAATAAACCGACCTTTAACTGTGTATAAGGTAATTTCTGAGCAAACTCCTAATGTTATTGGAAAGAAAATAAAAAGGTGACTGTAAAAATAATCTAAATTATTAACACTTATTCTAACCCCTATTTCTAACATTGTTCTGGGGATATGTGCATGTGTATGTGTATACATGTACCTGGTGAGAGGGTGAGGAGTGAAGAATGAGGGAGTAGTACTAATAAGCTTATCAACAATTCCGTCACATGCAACTCTATTGGATTCTTTTGAGAGCTGAAAACAAACAACAGCGGCAATGACATGAATAAATGAGTGTTTATAAGTGTATACCTTCAGTGACCCTACAACTTACTGATTTCTATTTCAAGCTATATACCCTAACAGAGAAATTCTTATACCTCTAAAGCAACATTGTTCATAATAATAAAATACTGCCGATAAAAGCAAAAATCCAACAGTAGAATTAACAAATAAATTGTGGCATAGTCATACAATAGCATACTAACTAGCAATGAAGATGACTAAACCAGAGCTACACATACCTTTATGGATGAATCTCACACAGTGGTGAGCTTTTACTCAACAATGAATGCACACAACATGACTGCCTTAAAGTTCAAAATCAGACAACACTATAGTTTACATAGTAAAACTGTGTAAAAATAAATAAAAAACATAAGTATATTCATCATTAAAATCAAGTACAGATTATCCAGTTTAACAAAGAGGATGTGGAAAAGGGGGCTGTGACTGGGATGGGGCAAAAGTAATTCTTCTAGCTCTAATTCTTAATATGAGTTGTAGTTACATGAATATTTACTATTGTACTTAAAACAATATATTTGCATATACTTTTTCATTTTGATATATTTCGAAATAACCAAAATGACACTTCAGAAATGCCCACTCTTGAATCAGTATTTGTTGTACAGCCATCCTCTACATATTCAGTACTTTGCTAACATAAGACACAGTACTAACTCTTGTGATGTCCATTAGTAAATGTATCCATTTACTGTGTGAACAGAAATCACATGGACTTCTCTTCTTAAGCATTCGGCTAACTTTCATAGAGGTTATGGGGGATAATTCAAGAGTTACTGATATGGTTTGGCTATGCCCCCACCCAAATCTCATTTTGAATTGTAGCTCCCCTATTTCCCTCATGTCATGGGAGGGACCCAGTGGGAGATAACTGAATCACGGCAGTAGTTTGTCCCATGCTGTTCTCATTATAGTGAATAAGTCTCACAAGATCTGATGGTTTTATAAAGGGGAGTTTCCCTGCACAAGACAAGCTCTCGTCTCTTGACTGCCGCCATCCATGTAATATATGACTTTGCTCCTCCTTGCCTTCTGCCATGATTGTGAGGCCTTCCCAGGCATGTGGAACTGTAAGTCAATTAAACCTCTTTCCTTATTAAATTATGCAGTCTGGGGTATATCTTTATCAGCAGTGTGAAAACGGACTAATACAGTTACAATGTATAATGTAAAAGTCAGGATGTTCCCTGAAATGAAAGTTTTACAATTCTTGTTTTTTTTTTTTACTTATAACCTAAGAATATTCCTAATAGAAGCAAATCTGTGAAATACACAATAAAACAGTTGAGAAACATATGCTTATATACACGGTATGCTTAACATATAAACTTTTAATAATTTATTTAAGGTATACCATGTGTGTGTACTCACTCTCACATCCTTCTCCCTAAATTCACTGTCTCACAGCCACTTAGATCTAAACATTTTACCTAATATTATGTTAAGGAAAATTTCAAACAAAAAAGTTGTGAAAGTTTTACAGTGAACACCAACCCACTATATCCACTATCCATATTCTCCAACTAACATTTTACTATATTTGGTTCATCACATACACAACCCTCTATCCACACATCAATCCACCTATTTTTTGATGCATTTCAAAATAAGTTGCAGGTATCAGTACACATCAGCATGCATATAATTAAGGTTTGATATTTACAACTTTTTATGTAAGTATGTTTTTTACATACCTTGAATCCTCCTTTAATATATACCAGAAAATGCACGTAGAAAATCTTTACCACAATGGGAAATAATCTGCTTTGATGAATAGTGATGATATTTAAAAAGTATTTTTTTTCTTCTGCAACTCATTCCTTTATAAAGATTAATACACTTTTACCATCAGTTTTGCTGTTGATTTGCATTTATTTCACCTGGGTTCCCCACTGGTTAAAAAAAGGTTTCTTTATTATATTTACAATCAGTGGTCAGAGTTTTAACTAGCTATATTCTTTACCTTCAAAATATAGTTATCAGTGACTGTTAAGAGGCTTTAACTACCAACCTGTAAATAGAATTGTTGGTGTATTCACTATAAATTATTTTAAAAAGCAATTAACTAAAAAAAGGTCTGTCAGCACAAAATGGCAAAGAAAATCCTATTCATCCATTTACCATCACATGACTGAATCACGAAGGCTATTACATGGGAAACAGAGATCCTAACATTACAGTATGTTCCACGTTTAATTCAACTACTATCATTTTTCTAGTCTTTTTCTTACTGTATTTTAAATCTTAACACCAGGTTCTCCTTAGGGTGGCTGACAGTGGGATTTACAACATATTAAAAAATACTAAAAATTCAAAAAGCTCTCAAATTTGAAACACTGAAGAATATTTTATTATGACAAGGTCCTCACAATATAGGAAAAAAAGCACTTATTTCTGTTGGTGACTTCTAATGATAAACCAATTAAAACAAAACATTAGGGAGCAATTTAAAAATGCCTACTATCCTTAGACGTGATCATGAATGGTCCCCAAAAAAATTATTAAAAAAAAGAGGAAACTAGATGAGAGATTTTCTAGTTCAGGGGTCAGCAAATGTTTTCTGGAAAGGGCCAGACAGTAAATATTTAAGGCTTGTGGGACACAAAGTCTCTGTCACTACTCAACTCTGCAACATGAAAACAACCACAAACAAAAGTTTATTTACAAAAATGGGTAGAAGACTGTGTTTGGCCCCTGGACCCTACTGTGTTGACCCTTGATCTAGTACAAACATTTTTAAACATGAGAAAAACAGACCCAGAAGGAGTACCTTTTCAGAGGTCATAACTAGAAACAGAGCTAGAAAGTAATTTAAATCTTATCAGTGGTAAACAAATTTTAGGAGGTGGCATCAAAGAATCTGGTTATTGAATGTGGCTGGAAGGTAAACAATTTCAGTAGTTGTGAAAAATCTTGATGGTATTAGGCATGAAGGAGTAGATCAGAAGAGAAAATAATATTTGAGACCAGACATTCAGGAAGAACCAGAAGGAGATCTCCACCAAGTGGTGAACATTAGATATATTACTTAGAAGAGAGCTTGAGGCTAAAAGAACTGCTTTGGTAGTACCTGCGGTATAAGTGCTAGGTGGCTGTGACAGTGTATAACAGGCAAAGCAGACAAAGAAGAGTGCTAAAGATGGGCATACAAATATACAGAAAAAAGAGAAATTGAAACAGAAGGCTGAGTTAGAAGTACAAGGAGTTGGGTGAGGTCCCATAAGACAGTGACACCATGGGGGCAAAGGAAGGCGAACACTTAAACGACAGAGAAGTATCTTATGACACAATGAACCCAGGCAAAAAATACAGCCCAAAAGGTGTTCACTGCAGGTGGCCACTAAGGTTTCCTTTCTGATCTTGCTGAGGTCACGGGAAGAGCAAGCCGACCATAATCACCTGACATGAGTTTAGTGGAATTAAGTTTTCCTTTCAAAGTACTGCCAGTGAGAGAGAGAGGAGAGAACAAAGAACAAATATTTATTAAGCACATAGCATGTAAGAGCAGTGTGCTAGACACATCAATTTTCTTTTCTCATTTGAATTTTACAGATACAATATTATCCTCTTTTACATGTGAAAAACCTAAGGCTGACAGAAGTCTCAAGGTTACAATTTGTCAGTGGTAGATAGGGATACAAATGCATGTGTCACTGACTCCCTAAAATGGTCTATCCAATGTTAAGGGCAGAAAACAAGGAAGAGTTTTTACAAAATAACATTTAAAAAGTCATTTTCTTAAACTACAGTGATTATACCATAAAAAAGAAACATGAATCCTTTTGAGTTGTATAAAATATATAAAGGTTTTGTAAGATCACGAGGTTATAAACAAGTTTCAAAAGTTAAATAGACTTTTTGGCAACTTAAAAAAAACCCTGATTTAAATAAAATCTACCCCTATCATGGTAATTCAACTTAATAAAATGAACATCAACATTATACCGAATGGGCAAAAACTGGAAGCATTCTCCTTGAGAAGTGGAACAAGACAAGGATGCCCACTCACCACTCCTATTCAACATAGTACCAGAAGTGCTAGCCAGAGCAATCAGGCAGGAGAAAAAAATAAATGGCATCCAAATAGAAAAATAAGTAGTTAAACTATTTTCTTTGCAGATGATATGATTCTATACCTAGAAAGCCCTAAAGACAAAGGTTCCTGCCAAAAGGTTCCTGGAACTGATAAATGCCTTCAGTAGTTTCAGGATAAAAAATCAACAAATGAATAAGTAGCATTTCTATACACCAATAATGTTCAAGCTGAGAGCCCAATCAACAACACAATCCTATTTACAATAGCCACAAATAAAATAAAATAAAATAAAATAAAATAAAATAAAATAAAATACCTAGGAATACCTCTAACTGAGAAGGTGAAAGATCTCTACAGGGAGAACTACAAAACACTGCTAAGAGAAATCACAGATGACACAAATGGAAAAGCATTCCATGCTCATGGATTGGAAGAATCAGTACTGTTAAAACGGCCATACTGCCCAAAGCATTCTACAGATTCAATGCTATTCCTATCAAACTACCAATGTCATTTTTCATGCTATTCCTATCGAACTACCAATGTCATTTTCCACAGAACTAGAAGAAACTACTCTAAAATTCATATGGAACCAAAAAAGAGCCCATATAGCCAAAGCAATCCTAAGCAAAAAGGACAAAGCCAGAGGCATCACATTACCTGACGTCAAACTGTACTATAAGGCTACATTAATCAAAACAGCATCATATTGGCACAAAAACAGATTCATAGACCAATGGAACAGAACAGAGAACCCAGAAATAAAGCCACACACAGCCATCTGATCTTCGTCACAGTCGACAAAAATAAGCAATGGGGAAAGGATTCCCTATTCAATAAATGGTGCTGGGATAACTGGCTAACCACATGCTAAAGAATGAAACTGGACCCCTATCTTTCACCATATACAAAAAGTGACTCAAGATGGACTAAAGATTTAAATATAAGACCTCAAACTATAAAAATTCTACAAGAAAACCTAGGAAACACTATTCTGGCCATTGGCCTTGAGAAATAATCTATGACTAAGTCCTCAAAAGCAACTGCAATAAAAATAAAAATTGGTGAGAACTAATTAAAGAGTTTCTGCATAGCAAAAACAACTATCAGCAGAATAAACAGACAACTTACAGAATTGGAGAAAACAGACACAAACTACACAACTGACAGAGGTCTCATATCCAGAATCTATAAGAAATTTAAAACAAATCAACAAGCAAAAAACAAATAACCCCATTAAAAAATGGGCAGAACACGTGAACAGAAACTTCTCTAAAGAAGAGATGTAAGTGGCCAACAAACATGAAAAAAATGCTTCACATCACTAATCATCAGAGAAATGCAAGTCAAAACCACAATGAGATATCATCTCACATCAGTCACAATGGCTAATTAAAAAGTAAAAAAACAACAGATGCTGGTGAGGCTGCAGAGAAAAGGGAACACTTATATGCTATTGGTGGGAATGTAAATTAGTCCAGCCACTGTAGAAAGCAGTTTAGAGATTTCTCAAATAACTTGCTTGACCCAGCAATGCCATTACTGGGTATATATCCAAAAGAAAAATTGTTCTACCAAAAAGATACAACCATTTGCATGTTCACCACAGCATTCTTCACAATAACAAAGACATGGAATCAACCTAGATGCCCATCAACAGTGGACTAGATAAAGAAAATGTGGTACATATACACCATAGAATACCATGCAGCCATAAAAAAAATTACGTCCTTTGCAACAACATAGATGCTGCTGGAAGCCATTATCTTAAGCAAATTACTGCAAGAATAGAAAAGCAAATACTGCATGTTCTCACTTATAAGTGGGAGCTAAACACTGGGTAATCATGGACATAAAGACGGCAATAATACAAACTGAGGACAACCAGAGCAGGAAAGAAGGCTGCAAAACTAACCACTGGGTACTATGCTCAGTACCTGGGTGAAAAGATCATTCATACCTCAAACCTCAGCATCACCCAATACACCCAGGTAACAAACTTGCACATGTACCCCTGAATCTAAAATAAAAGTTGGAAAAAAATATTTTAAACTGTTAATAACAGAGGTCTTTAGCAACAGAAGAATACTATGAAGAAACAGTCATCTAACTGGCTAAACAAGATAAAATTGAGTATAAAAAATCTAAAACTTATTTTAAAATGCTTTGTGAAATATACTTAATAGAATGCCATGCAAAGGCTTGCATGGTATTATTATTTTTTTAAAAGGCCATTATAGACTTCTGCATCTAGCTGTGATGAAATAACGAACACTGAAACTGCCCTCCAGGTGTAAACAACTAAGAAACTGGCTGACAAACAAAATTCAACATTTTTAAAGAAGTAGGAAAATATAAGAAGAGAAAAAATCAAAAGTCAGTCAACAGACACAGATCCAGAAATGACAGAGAAGACAGAATTGGCACATAAGGACTTTAAAATAGCTATTATAACAAGGAGAGAAATAGAAGATATAAAAAAGAACCAAATGGAAATTGTACAGTTAAAAAATACAGTATGTGAAATTAAAACTTCACAGGAGAGGATTAACAGGTTAGACACAGGGAAGAAACTCAATCACTGAATTAAAAAAATAGCAATAGAAACTATCAAAGCTGAAGCATGGAGGGAAAAAACATGTACACATGTGACTTGAGTCTGATGGTGGGAAGTATGGGGTGGGAAGTAGGGCAGATGCAGAAAAACTATTTGAAGAAACATTACCAAAACTTACCCAAATTTTATAAAAACCATGATTATCCCACAAACACAAGAAGTTCAATGAACCTTAATGAGGACAAATACAAAGAATACTATAAAAACTCATAATCAACTGATAAAAGCCACTCACAAAGTGAAAATCTTCAAGAATGCCAGAAACACATTATAGACAGGGTATATACAGGGTATCAACAGTTGACTTCTTAACAGAAACAATGAAAGCCAGAAGAAAATAGAGATCTCTCCAAAAACTGAAGGAAAAATAAACCCTGGAAACCAAGGGAAACCAATTTCTGCATCAAGTGAAAATATCCTTCAAAATACATTTTTAGGCAAACAAAAGCTAACCAAGTTTGTCACCAGCAGATCTTCACCACAAAAAAGTAGTTCAGGATTAAAGAAAGACTTCTGAAATGGGCATTCTGATCTACACAAAGGAATAGAGAGCACCAAAAATGGTAAATATGTGGTTAAATGTATGATATTTCCCCCTCATTAAAAAATTCCTCTTGAAGAAATTGTTTAAAGCAAAGTAACAACTGTTGCGGGAAGTCAGGGACCCTGAACACAGGGACCAGCTGGAGCCACGGCAGAGGAACATAAATTGTGAAGATTTCATTTTAATATGGACATTTATCAGTTCCCAAATAATACTCTTATAATTTCTTAAGCCTGTCTTTACTTCAATCTCTGAACATAAATTGTGAAGATTTCATTTTAATATGGACATTTATCAGTTCCCCAAATTAACAGTTCTGTAATTTCTTATGCCTGTCTTTTTTTTACTTTAATCTCTTAATCCTGTTATCTTCATAAGCTGAGGATGTACGTCACCTCAGGCCCACTATTGTGTTAACTGTACAAATTGACTGTAAAGCACGTGTGTTTGAACAATATGAAATCGGTGCACCTTGAAAAAGAACAGAATAACAGCAATTTTCAGGGAACTAGGGAAGACAACCATAAGGTCTGACTGCCTGCAGGGTTGGGCAAAATAGAGCCATATTTTTCTTCTTGCAGAGAGCCTATAAATGGATGTGCAAATAGGGAAGATATCACTAAATTCTTTTCCTAGCAAGGATTAATACTCTGGGAAAGAAATGCATTCCTTGGGGGAGGTCTATAAACGGCTGCTCTGGGAGTGTCTGTCTTATGCCATAGAGATAAGGACTGAAATCCGCCCTGGTCTCCTGCAGTACCCTCAGGCTTAGCAGGGTGGGGAAAAATCCCGCCCTGGTAAATTTGAGGTCAGACCAGTTCTCTGCTCTCAAACCCTGCTTTCTGTTAAGATGTTTATCAAGACAATACGTGCACTGCAGAACATAGACCCTTATCAAAAGTTCTGCCTTTTGTCCTTTGTCCTGTTTCCTCACAAGCATGTGATCTTTGTTCTGCCTTTTGCCCTATGAAACATGTGATCTTGGGACCTACTCCCTGTTCTTGCATCCCCTCCCCTTTTGAAATCCTTAATAAAACTTGCTGGTTTTGCAGCTCAGGTGGGCATCACGGTTCTACTGATATGTGATGTCACCCCCGGAGGCCGAGCTGTAAAATTCCTCTCTTTGTACTCTTTCTCTTTATTTCTCAGCCAGCCGACACTCATGGAAAATAGAAAAAACCTATGTTGAAATATTAGGGGCGGGTTCCCCCTATAAACAACAAATATTGTAAGGATTATAACATGTAGAATTAAAAAGTATGAAAACTATAGCACAAAGAACAGGAAGGGGAATGGAAATACTGTCACACGGTTCTTGTTTTCTATATGACATGGTACATTACTACTTGAAGACTGACTGTAATATATTGATGCATATTTTAAATCCTAGACCAACCTCTAAAAATGCAACAAGGAGGTATAGCTTAAAAGCCAATAGAAAAAATAAAAACCACTGATTTAATCCATAGGTGGCAGTAAAAGAGGGGGAAAAACAGAGCAAAGGAAAGATGGGATGAAAGGAAAACAAATACGAAGGTGCAAAACTTAAACTCAACCACAGTGATAATTACACTGAATGTAAATAGTCTAAGTACTTCAATTACAAAGGCAGAAATTGTCAAACTCAATTAAAAAACACCTAACTATATGTCTGTAAGAAATGCACTTTAAATTAAAACACATAGAGTAAAAGTAAAAGAATGCAAGAAGTTATACCATGCAAAATCATAAGAAAGATAGAGTGCCTATATTAATATTAGAAAATGAAGACTTCAGGATAAGAAAATTAAACAAAAATAAAGAGGGGCATTTCCTAATGATAAAAGTCATTTTAAGACTAAATCTAAAATTATTGAGAATACCATGTGTTGATGAGAATGTGAAGCACTGGAATTCTGATGTGTTGTTGGTGGGAGTGTAAAATAGTAAAACTGCTTTGGAAAATAGTTTGGTAACCATACACTTACCATATGATCAGCAATTTCAGCCCTACTTTTTTATTCAAGAGAAATATAAACATATGTCTGCAAAAACACCTGTAAACAAACATTCATAGGAGCTTTACTCATAATAACCAAAACCCCAAAACAAGTCAAATGTCCATTCATAGGTGAATGGATAAAGAAATTGTGGTATACTCATAAAACAGAATACAACTTAGCATAAAAAGGAATAAACAGGTGATACAGGCAGCAACACTGACGAATCTCAAAAACATGGTACTGAGCAAAAAAAGCCAGATACAAAAGAAATATATGATTTCGTTTATGAAATTCTAGAATAGGCATCTGTAGTGACAGAAAATAGATCAATGATCACCTGAGACAGAAGATGGGAAACTGACCACAAAGGAGAATGAACAGGGTGACCAACCATCCCAGTTTGCCTGGGACCATCTTGGCAAACCCCTCAGTCCAGGCAAACTGAGACATTTGGTCATTCCAGGCTATAAAAAGAAACATTTTTAGGGTGATAGAAATGTTCTAAATCTTGACCAGGGTAGTGGTTATATGGGCATGTTTGTTGGAATTTACTAAACTGTCATTTAAAATGCCTATATTTTATTACATATAAATTATATTTCTATTAACTTGATTTAAAAAGTAAAAAAAAAAAAAAAAGGGACCATTATGTAATTTGTGTTGCCTTTACTAAATGCAAACAGAAGTTTAACCTTCTTAAATTGCTATTTATAAGGCTAGCATTAAAAGTATCAGAATCTGTCAAACCCTAAAATCAGAACTATTTTATATACAATATGCATATTTTTTAAGAAAGCAAAGATGAGACATAATCAAGAGGCATTTAAAAAACTTTTCAGCCTCTGAAGTTATTCACATTTCAAAACGTTTACTTAGAGCCTATTCCTCAAGAAGCTCTAGGGCAGAGAGACTTGTACGTAAATCAACAACAATCAGGTGACAATAGTATAGCAAAGTAAGTATAGGTAATGTGTGAGGTGAAAGTGCTACACTGCACTGGAAAGAGGAAGGGATTCAGGAAAGGTTCTGGAAGGGGAGTCAAGAGCTGATTTTACTTAAGGAATGTAGCAGGCAAATGAGTAAAAAGTACATTCTATGCACACTAGATGTGTAGGTGAAAAACAGCATTCTAAAAGAGAATAAGGACTGGATTATAGATGGATGATATAATTAAAGGCTAAAAGGTAAGCAAGTGATAGATATGAAGAGCAAAGATTCAGAACGCATGACTATCTTTAACACCACAAACATAAGACATTTTAACAACTATCCTATTTCAACCTCTGAGTATATCTTTAGGTTTTATATTAAGTTTTTATTAGGTTCAGAGTATATTTCTACCTGATTTACTCCAGCTGAATTCTACATTTGGAACTTTTGAAACAGAATAATTGAATAATTTTATAGATAAAAAAGATGTTTGACAAATTATCATTTCATACACAAAACAAGTCTTAGGGTTCACTTGAATTTTAAGAGATGGAAATTTTTTTTCCTCCAAAACGTTTAGACTAAAGACATATATTTTGAGTAATTAATACTTATTCCTGGATTTCCTGAAAACTGAGTCCTTTTTTGACTTAAAGGAAATTAAACTAGATGGAAATGCTTTATGCACTCTTCTGTAAGTGTATTTCATACAAAAGAGGGGGGAATTTTAAAAATTATCACACCAATGGGAAGGGAACATATTCTCAGTTATCTATTACTAGAACTCATGATCTTTTCATTTGTTGCAAAAAGCATCAAGATCAGCCTGCCCCACCCCTTTGGGGATGTTGTTCATCCCCTTACTATTAAATCAATCAATTTATCTGTTCCTGGCCCTACCTAGTTAGAAATTTATCCAAACACTGAAAAATATCAACACAGGAATTATGAGTTGATAATTACTGTCTTCAAAGAAGTACTACGGCCCAAGAAGCACCTCACAAAAAGCAACTGACAAGCTCTGAAACGCTAGTATTTCTTCCACAACGTTGTTTATTTTATAGTTCAACACCAGAGGTCGCCAAACTTCAGCAATAGAGGTGCATGTGTAGCCTTTAAGAGCGAAGTAAAAGAAAACCTATTAGAAATGTCGCTACTCCGCTTAAAATCCTGCAATTGCTTCCAACTGCTTACAAGCTAATGTGATCTGGCCACTGTCAACAGCTCCAGTCTTCTCCTTCCTGGTAAACTCATATTCTATCAACCCCACCAGGCAGAACCTTAAGCGACAACCATAAAGAAACACACCAAACCTAGTTTTACTAAATATTTATCCACTCCCTTCCGCTCCCTATCTGGTAAATACTTTTTCATGTTTCAATATTCAGCTCAATGGTTAGCTCTCCTAAGAAGGCTTTCCAGACAGCACTACTCTGAGTGAAATGCTTCTGCCTTTGTATTCTGCTCAGACATCTGGAATAATACTGGGCTTGCCCTATTGCCCTCAGTTCCTCTCCTCCCATCCATCAGTCTCTGAAGCCCCTGAAGGCAAGAAACCTCTAAGTTCTTGCCCAGCACCTAGTAAAAACTGTTCACTAAATTAACGCATGTAGTTAATGTGGTATGCACCTTGAAAGACTAAAGGGATGTATGGCTAGGCTTATAGATAATGAATTCAATAAAGGTTTTAAAAATGAAATTATATAACACAACATAATCATTGTATAAATGGTTGAATACCTAAACATCTTCATTTATTTTCTGCATATGGAATTTGGAGTGTTGGGTTGTGTTAGATTGGCTGCTATATCCTCAAAAGGACAAATTTTTCTAAATAGAAAACATGTATTCTGTTTCAAAATATCAGTCTAATGACAATAGAATCACTATCATTTTCACTTATAGAGGACTGATATGAAATGTCATCTCCTCTGGCATTTTCCTACAATTTACAGATTTTACTATTTATTTTTTGAGACAGAGTCTTGCTCTGTCAGCCTGGTTGGTGTGCGGTGGTGCAATCTTGGCTCACTGCAACCTCTACCTCCCAGGTTCAAGTGATTCTTGTGCCTCAGCCTCCTGAGTAGCTGGGATTACAGGTGTGCTCCACCACACCCAGCTAATTTTTATATTTTTAATAGAGATGAAGCTTCCTCCTGTTGGTCTTGAGCTCCTGGCCTCAAGTGATCCACCCATCTCAGCCTCCCAAAGTGCTAGGATTTACTGCATGAACCACCGCACCCAGCAGGTTTTACTTTTTAAATCTACTAGTTGTAGGTAGCTAAAGTAATAAGCTCAATAATGCAGATTTTACCCAGTTTATACCTCTCCCCTATACTATATGATTACAAGTTGGTATAAGCAACCATTTTCTTGGGGTGCAATATTTCTCTCTCAGGGTTTCCTTCTAATTTCCAAAAGGCAAAGAGCAAAAAGGTATAGCTGCAGCAATATGAGTCTTAAAGCCCCATTAAGAACTTCAGTGATTTTCATCATTTTTCAGAGCAGCAAGCTGTCACATTATTTGAGCACAAGTAAACAATTTGGGTAAAGTATTTATTTAAACTAGACAGAATGAACTACTAAAGGAGGGTCCCCCCGTGTGCCTATACTCTATTTCATTCACTCTTTCTTGCCTGTCATTTAACTCAAGTTGATCAGCTCTCCTTCCCTTTTAGGGGGCAATCGGGGTGGATGGTACAACTCTGAGAAACCCTTTAGAGTCCTTTGCAAAACTATAGTCAGGGTTTATTGCCTTCCTTAAGATGCAGTGGAAATGACAAAGACATTCTTTTACAGATAGATGTGCTCACTTTTGCCTTAAAAAAAAAAAAAAGCTTTACTGTACTTCATGTATCATGAAACCCACCCCTTATACAACTGAGTGATTTTTACTACATTTACAGAGGTGTGCAATCATCACTGCTGTCTAATTTTAGAACATGTTCATTACCTCAAAATGAAAGCCTGTATCCATGAGCCATCATTCTCATTTCCCCCAGCTCCCCAGAACCACTAATCTTTTTGTCTCCACAATCTGTCTCTTCTGGACATTTAATATAAATAGAATGGAATTATATAATATGTGGCCTTTCGTGTGTGACATTTTCTTATCTATTCATCAGTTGCTAGAAATTTTATTTGTTCCTTTTTTGGCTATATAACATTGCTATAAACTTTGCGTACATGTTTTGTGTGGATGTAAGTTTTCAGTTATTAGGATATATACCTACAAGCTGAATTGCTGGGTCATATAACTCAATGTTTAATAGTTTGAGGAAGTGCCAAACTTGTTCAAGGTTTGCATCATTTTACAACCACACCAGCAATGCATGAAGGTTCCAGTTTCCCCATATCCTCACCAACATTAGTTACTGTCTTTTTATTTTAGTCATTATGGAGAGTGTGATAATAGTATTCATTATGGTACTGACTTGCATTTCCTTGATGAATAATGATGTTGAGCATCTTTTTGTATGCTTACTGGCCATTTGTGTATCTTCTTTAGAGAAGTGTCTATGCCGATTCTTTGTCCATTTTTCAAGTGGGCTTTCTTTTTATTATTGAGTTGTAAGAATTCCTTACATACTGTAGATACAAATCCCTTACCAGACATAATTTGTAAAAATTTTCTCCAATTGTCTTTTAAGTTTCTTGATGCTGTCTTCTAAAGCACAAGTTTTTAAATTTGACAAAGTCCAATTTACTTCTATTTTCTTTTATAATGTGTGCTTTTTGTGTTACATGTATGAAAATATTGACTAATTGAAGTTCACAAAGATTTATATCTGTTTCCTTCTAAGAGTTTTATCGTTTTGGCTCTAACATTTAGGTCTTTGATTCATTCTGAATTCATTTGTTTTTAATTAATTGACGAATTATAAGTGTATATAGTTTTGAGGTAAACAGTGATATTATGGGTATACAATGTGGAATAACAGAATCAGACTAATTAACATACCGATTACATTAAATACTTATCATTTGTTCCTCCTGTCTAACTATAATTTTGTACCCTTTGACCAACATTTCCCATCCTCTCCACCTTCTGGTAAACACTATTCTTCTCTCTCCTTCTGGAATTCAATCGTTTCAGAATCCACATATTAGTAAGACCATGCAATATTTCTCTTTCTATGCCTGACTTACTCTACTTAGCATAATGTCCTCCAGGTTCACCCATGTTGTCACAAACGACAGAATTTCCTTCTTTCTTAAGGCTAAGTAGTATTCCACTGTAGTGGATATATATATACCATATTTTTCCTTCCGTTCATCCACTGATAGGTACTTACGTTGTTTCCATATCTTGGCTTTTATGAACAGAACTTGAGAGTACAGATATCTCTTTGACATACTGACTTCAAGTCTTCAGGATAGATTACCTAGAAGTGGAACTGCTGGATCATACTGTAATTTTATTTTCAGTTTTTGAGGAACCTCCATATAGTTTTCCATAATGGTTGTACTAATTTACATTCCTAACAACAGTGTACAAGGATTCCCTTTTCTCCACAAGCTATATAATTTTTGTATATGGTGTGAGGTGGGGGTCCAACTTCATTCTTTTGCATATGGATCCAGTTGTCCAAGCACCATTTGTCAAAAAGACTATTGTTTCCCCATTGAATTATCTTGGAATCCTTGTCAAAAATCAATTGACAATAAATATAAAGGTTTATTTCTAGACTCTCCATTCTACTTAATTGATCTGTATGGCTACATTCACGCCAGTAATACATTGTCTTGATTACTGCAGTTGTGTAGTAAGTTTTGAAAACAAGAAGTGTGGCTGGGCGTGGTGGATCATGCCTGTAATCCCAGCACTTCGGGAGGCCAAGGTAGGTGGATCACTTCTTGAGCCCAGGAGTTTGAGATCAGCCTGGGCAACATGGTGAAAACCTATCTATAACAAAGAATACAAAAATTTGCCAGGCATGGTGGTGTGTGCCTGTAGTCCCAGATACTCAGGAGGCTAAGGTGGGAGGACAGCTTGAGCCAAGAAGGTGCAGGCTACAGTAAGCCATGATTGTACCACTGCACTCCAGCCTGGGTGACAGAGCGAGACTCTGTCTCAAAAAAAAAAAAAAAAAAGTGGCTCCTCCAACTTTATTCTTTTTCAAGACTGTTTTGGACTTCATTCTTTTCTTACTAAATAAAAATTTATACTTGGAAACAAATCATCTTCCTCCCCGCCAAAAAGTTTTGATTACGTAAACTATTGAACATAAAGTGAAAAATTCATTTTTGGTTGATACATATTCATAGGAGTCAAAAGACCTTTTTTTCTAGGTGAATTTCAGCTAAAGTGGTATTCTCAAGGAAGCAGTATAAAATAGAAAGGGGGGTATATGAATCTCTTGGATTAAAAAAAAATACATGTAAAAATCTGTATACACATCAACCAGTTTTACTTTCCTTCGAGAATCACTAACACTATAGTTCTTTGTAGCATCACAAGCCAAGATTTCCTTCATACTGTCTTAATATCTTATACATCAAATAAACAATAAAATATTGCTTTATAAATATGAAATAGCATTCAGTATACTTTTAAAAACTAGAAATGCCCCTTTCTACAAGATTGCTAGTTTCTTATACTTTTCCTACTAGCCAACTATTAAGAATCATTGGTGTCAAACATTTTAACCTTTTATTGCAAAAAAGGAAGCAAGAATTCCTTAGTAAAACATAGATCCTGAAGTCAGGGGTCTAGCATATGCATGCTATCAACCTGACAGATTTCTGTCCCTGTCCCATCTCTCACCTGCCCCTTCATATACTTTATAGATTTCTCCAAAGAAAATGTATTAAATTGAGGCCCTGAAATTAGGTCAACACACAAAATAACTCAAAAGGCAACCCTGCACAAGAATCTGCAGTTGATGACTACAGGGTATTATATCCCAGGAAAAGTAATCATATGGATGGTCCTTTGACTCAGGTCCTAAAATACAACTATAAATAAATTAGTTTTGAAGTGACAATGTCATGAAACTTCAGTTTGTCTGGAAAAAAGTTTCTTTGTATAAATAAAACATCACTGGCAAATTAGTAAATAACTACACTGCATATTCTGGGAAAAGTAACGATTTCAAATGGATGCCATTATCTGCAAGTCAAAAGACAAACTGAGCTACATCGCCAGGAGTTATTTTTCCATGCCTAGGCACACATACTTTTAAGTATACAGGGATTTAACTAAGTATGGGTAAGTTACTGTAGACCAAATACAATTTCATAATATTAGTTAAAATTAATGTTTCTTTTGGTCTATGGAAAACATTATACTAATGTTGAGCAGTTATTGCATTAGAATAATTCTTTTAATGCCTCCGTTTTTCTTATTTTAAAAATGTTGGCATCATATCGTATGTGTAATACCCACTTTCTACAGGTGGTTATTATTAACTGTAGTCTTATTTCCTTGTACTATAATAGGGGAAAGATGTTTACCCTGGAGTTCTTGGGAGAGCTACGGGAAGGCCAAGAATCACCTAAAGTTGCATACAAACTGTTTGGTATTTATTCATTTTTCTGGGGGGAAGTGTCCACTATTACTAATAGATTTTCAAAGTAGTCCATGATTTAAAAACTATTAAGAGCTGCTGCTCTGATCAGCAATAAATGAAAAAATTTAACTGATAATACAAGAACAAATTAAGTACCAACTAACACAATCAGTCAGTCAAGACAGCGCCACTGAACTTCCAGCCTGGGTGACAGAGCAAGACTCTGTCTCAAAAAAAAAAAAAAAAAAGAAAAAGAAAAAGAAAGATTGTCTGACAATGAAAATGTTAAGTCAGGAAACAAGAGTGTAGGTACACATGGGCACTGAACAAACTATAGGACAGGACAGGGATAATTAAAATCCAAAATATTTGCTAAATGAAGATGGTGAAAATAAGGTTGAACTGTACAGAAGCTCCTTGATTTAAAATGGGGTCATATCATGGCAAACCCATACATAGTAAGCTGAAAATATCCTAAGCTGAAAATGCAAACAATATGTCCAATCTACTGAAATCACAGCTCAGCCTAGACTACCCTTAAATGTGCTCAGCACAATTACATTAGCCTACAGTTGGGCAAAATAATCAAACACAAAGACTATTTCATGATAAAGTGTCAAACATCTCATGTAACCTATTAAATATTGTCTTAAAAATGAAAAACAGAATGGTTGTACAGGTACTCAAAATACAGTTTCCACTGAATCTGTGCTGCTTTCCCAGTATTGGAAAGTCAAAAAATCATTAAGCCATCCTAAGTCGGGGACTGTCTGTAACTGAAAGCAAAGCAAAGGAATTGTGGGGACCATGTGTAATTGAAAGCAAAGCAAAGGAACTGACCATTACAATGGTTGAAACAGAATTAAACCTAAAGATACCTCAAATTGATTTCACTACTGTAAGATTTAGGGGTTGCATCACTAATTTGCTGGTAGACACAAATTTTTACAATATACATATAATAAGTAATAAACACAACTCAATGGGTTCTGGGTATCAAGTTGACATTAAGGATCATATAGTTTTTCCCGAAGGTACAAAATTCCATGAATAGAGGCTATAAATTGAGCTACAGATGAATCAGATGGTTTTTCCACCACCCTACTCTTCCTGTATATACGGTAATACAGTAGTTTCCCCTTAACTGTGGAGGATATGTTCCAAGACTCCCAGTGGATGCCTGAAAACATACGTAGTACCAAACTATATACTATGTTTTTCCTATACATACATACCTATGATAAAGTTTAATTTATAAATTAGGCACAGTAAGAGATTAAAAGCAACAACAATTAAAATGATATACTGTAAAGTTCTGTGAATGTAGTCTCTCTCTCAAAATATTTTCTTGTACTACACTTATCCTTCTTGTTGTGATGATGTGAGATGATAAAATGCCTATGTGGTAAGATGAAGTGAGGTGAATTACACAGGCCTTGTGACATAGCCTTAGTCTACTAATGATCTTCTGACTGTACACCAGGAGGAGGATCATCTGCTTGGAATGATCCTGGATCAGTGAGCCATAATAATGTCCATGGCTGGATGTCAGGAGCAAATGATGTCGATGACTAACGGGCAGGTAGTGTATACAGCATGGATATACTGGACAAAGGGAGGATTCACGTCCCAGGAGGAATGAAGCAGGACAGCATGAGATTTCAGCATACTACTCAGAACAGCATGCAATTTAAAACTCATAAATTGTTTATTACTAAAATTTTCCACTTAATGTTTCTGAACTGTGGTTGGCTCTGGGTAACTAAAACAGTAGAAAGTGATACCTGTGGATATCAGGAGACTACTGTAGTAACAGTAATAGTAGTAGTAGTGATGCTTACTTCTTAGGGTTAATATAATAATTAAGTGTGGTAATGAATGTAAAGTGCTTAACCCAGTGCCTGGCACAAAGTAAGGTCTCACTGAGTGGCAGCTTTTATGATGAGCAGTCATTTCCCAATATTGGAAAACGTAGAACTCTGAGGAGCCAGGGATCCACTGATCTTTTTGTCTAAATTATACCACAAACAAGCATCAAATTGAAAGCCTAGGAAAACAATTATTTAGACAAACATTTGTAACAAAAATGTAACTCTCAACTTCTGTAGAACTGTTTTTGTTTACTAACAAAAACAAAAAATTGAAAGCAACTACTTTTTCATAAGTCCTGCAACTGTAAAAAGATATGATTTCTTAGAAAAAATCAACATCACATAGTAGTAAAAAGCAAAAAATAAAAATTCTCTCCTTTTCCCCTTCCCTTAATTCTATTCTCCATTGTAGAATTTGTAGGTCCTTCTAAATCTTTTTCTACGGATAGGCATCATAAGAAATGAAGCCCGCCCATCTACTTGGCTCCCATAGCACAATCAAAAGTTTATTTGCATCTGTGTTGTACTTTCAAATTTCTTACATAAAATTTCAGTTACAGATAACTGAAATTACTAGCTCTTCCCTGTGTAAAAGCTATCTACATAGATATCTAGGTTGGTTAATTAATGTTAAGAGAAAACTAAACAGTAGTTTAGTAAAGCTGTATTACAAAAGAAATTAAGAAAATTTAATTGCCTTATAAAATAATTTTATTATTGCAAATAATTTAAGTATCAATATATTTAATGTCAAGCTTTTTAGAGAAGATATACCCAAATTCTAAAGGCCAGTTACAAAAACTATGAAAGCTATACTGAAATTCTATTATCAAGAGGTGTAGCATTGACTAATTCTGTCCTAAAACTCTTCTATTCAAAAGCAATAGTCAAATTATTACTATAGCATAAGTAAATGTTTATGATATAAATGAAACTATCTCTGTAGGAATTTTAATATTTAAAATTAAAAAATTCTACAAATGGTTGGTTTATTTTTAAATTGTTAGTTTTGTGATAGTTTAATCCAGAAATTAAACTCTGGACTGAAATTCATCTTACCTTATTTGAAATTTATGTTTTAAAGTTTGAAGAGTAGAGGGGAGAAATTATTAGTAAAACTTACAGCTTTCCCAGGTCCAAAACTTCCTAGATTGCTTATATGGAATTTCTGGGGGACACCTGTCATTTATGTAAGAAAGTTAATAATCAAACTTACGAAAACCAATACATCATGTAAACTTTTTGAAACACAATGCTGTATCACTTTACCTTAATGCTGTTATTTTCAGCATCAATTATGTAATTCAAAATACAATCATGCAGTGGAATCTATGTAGTCATTAAAAAATATACTTAATTGTTCAGTTTTTAAAAGTCTACAAAGCAGTAAGATGGTATTTTTATTTAAATAAAAAGAAAATATAGTATATGAAAATATTTATAGAAGTATTTTTCATGATGTGCTAGAACAGTAAGTGATTTTTGTCTATTTGTCTGTGCTTTCTCAGTCTTCTGCATTGAGCATATAAAATCTAAGACTATGTAGTTATAAAAAAAGTAACTGTCATTAAAAATTATCACCTTCACCAGCATTATACAAGCCTGCACAGGACTCTCTTCTACAAAGCTCCACTGCTATGGCCAACTGCAGAGGTGCCAAAGGACAATGTTGTATGTCAGTGAACATTACATTTGGCAAAATTCCTGGTAGAGATTTTCCAAAAATATTTTATTTTTTCCCATGTATCTGGAACTATATCATATATTTCTTGAGGTTTTTATATTAAGGAAGAATTTAAAGGAAAAAAAGCACATTGTCTGAGAAGCCCCTAATGGAATTTGTCTTTTTACAAATGCCGTGAAAATCCAAGCATTTTTGATATGTAGAGGTCAAATGGCATAATGAAATGCTGATCTGACAATTCTATGCATGAAATTAACTTCAGAAAGTTAAATACTTGTGTTTTTCATGCTTAGAAATGATTTTCCATGACTTTCAAATCTGTTCTTATACTTTTAACTTATTCTAAAGATAATGTATTTGGATTTTATTCTAAATATTTTACAAAAACCTTATTAGAGGGCAGTGAGGAAAATTAAAAATGTTAGCTAGAATGAGATACAGTTCGTTTAATTAAACTGTTTTACTCATGCTGTAAATTACTGGCATGGACATCTGAGTCAATAAACAACATACACAACAACCACATTAACTTTTCTTATTAATTCCCAGCTTATTTCAAATTCATGAATGGACAATGGTTTAACAAGTTAATTCAATACAAACCTTAATTGAAAATTATTTTGGTGCCCTCAGATATTAAAACATAAGAATAAAAAAAAGTCCCTGCTCAGAAAGTTTATAAAATAATGAGGCAAAAGTTTATAAAATAATGAGGCAAGTCTACCACATAAAAAAACTTCATAAAGCTTATTATATGATTATCCACTTTCTTTTTTTTGCTTAAACTTAAATTCAGAGAAGAGTTATCCATTTTTCCAGGGTTAGTTTCCCCCAGATACTCTCTTATGAGGTTTTCTAGAAAGAAAATGAAAAGAAAGCAGAAAAGAACAGTTTAATACGAGTTCCCTACTTATCATAAGCACTAAGGGTGCATGACTATTACCTTAAAAAACGTGAGAACTGAACTGGGCATTTATGAGACCACCTTTAAGAAAATTTCAAATCTATTCTTAAAGTCATGTTTATCAGTACATGAAAGTATTTGTTTAAAATACAGAACGTCTTAATAACATTTAACTTTGAAAACAAACACATATAACTTCTCTTTTCCAACTTAAATCAGGAAAACTAGAATAGCTAGATCAGCATTTCTTAGGAATTTTTATTCAAATGAAACCTCATATATATTTAACATTTGAAGAACAGATGTTAGCAATAATAGGAAGGAGGGAGGGAGGGAGGCAAGCAGGAAGGAAGGAGAAAGAAAAAGATTTGATATTTATTATTTATTTATTTATTTGTGACAGAGTCTGACTCTGCCGCCCAGGCTAGAGTGCAGTGGTACTTGGCTTACTGCAACATCTGCTTCCCAGGTTCAAGCAATTCTCCTGCCTCAGCCTCTGGAGTACCCAGGACTACAGGTGTGCGCCATGGCACCTGGCTAGTTTTTATATTTTTAGTAGAGACAGGGTTTCACCATGTTGGTCAGGCTGGTCTTGAACTCTTGACCTCAAGTGATCTGCGCACCTCGGCCTCCCAAAGTGTTGGGATTACAGGTGTTAGCCACCACGCTTGGCTGTGATATTTATTATTTATTATTTTATTGATGGACTCGTTGACACAGTCTCGCTCTGTCACACAGGTGGAGTACAGGGGCATAATCTTGGCTTACTGCAACATTTGTCTCCCGGGCTGAAGCTACCCTCCCACTTCAGGCTCCCAAGTAGCTGGGGCTACAGGCATGTGCCACTATGCCTGGCTAATTTTTCTATTTTTTGTAGAGACTGGGTTTCGCCATGTTCCCTAGGCTAGTCTCAAACTCCTGGGCTCAAGCAATCCACCCACCTCGGCCTCCCAAAGTGCTGGGGTTACAGGCGTGAACTACGGCCCCTGGCCGGACCAGTAAGATTTGGGGCTACATTAAACACACACACACAACACTCTTATGAAGTTTATTAACCTTCATGCAATAAGACTTAGAACTATACTAAACATATACACACTTGCACAAAATACAAAGCCTAGAGCCTCCGTGCAATGTGTGGTAACTTCCAGTCAATAAATGGATGGTAAACTACTACTGGTAATTCCATCTATCCTGGGCAGCCACGGTCAAGAACATAGAAGGCACCTAGAAACCAGATATCCCAAAATGCCCTGGATGCTTGGAAATACTTACAGTTCTCTTATCTTATATCATTATCAAAACTTTCTATAAGCAGTGATTTTGGAACTTACTTACTATAGTAAGGTGATAAGTACATTTCTTAAGTATAAATGCAAGATGACAGCATAGCACATAAATGATGAGTGTTTTATTTCAGAGTTGGCCTGCTACTACATATTGATCACGGACCATTTTGGAAAAAATAAGCACTTAATGAAAATGAAGTCTGAAATTATCAGTAACAAAATATATTAATAGCAGGTAGCATAAAATAGTATTAGCAGAAAATGAATTACAAGGACTAACAAAAAGTTGTACAAACAAGCTCTAGACTTAAAGATTTATAAGGTATTACGGCAAGCATGAGATAGGGAATTATCACAGATGCTCACTTAGCTTCCTCAGAAATTCTACTTGCATTATGTATGAATTAAAATTAATGACAAATCGCCACAAAATTCTAAAATATAATCAGTAGAGAAATGATACAATTGTAATGAGCTAAACATATATGACAAATAGAATAGCTAATATGCCCACAGAATTGTAGCATGGTGATGGTGAGCTCAAGTACGTCAAATAAAAGCCTAGGGACAGGAGAAATGCTGAATGGTTGTGTAAGAGCAGAGACCAGGAAACTACAGCCCATTGTCTGTGTGAAGCCCATAAGCTAAGAATTAACAGATTTGCCATCAATTTGATGATTAGAAAGTACTAACTTTGAACATCAATTAAGAGAAAGGTTATATTTCCCCAAAAAGAACTCAATTCTTCTGGTTAGTAGAGCTGTATTTAAAAATAAAAATAAAAAAAAGACTCAATTATTATACCTCTAACTTCATCAATAAAAAAATTTGTGAAAATGTGTTTTCTCTTTTGTTACTGAAGTACCTATATGATATCCTCGATTTTGCCTTTTGGCCCACAAAGCCTAAAATATTTTATCTAGTCCTTTACAGAAAAAGTTGGCCAAGCTCCGTATTCAAGCATTAATTTACATGATGGGGTAGGCTTTTAGAAAATAAAGAAAGCAAACTATTCAAATTTACATCTAAGTGTAGCACAGAAATGAAAAAGAAAATAGTTCTGTTAACAAGTGTAAAAGATTAGATAGGAAACTCAAAAATGGTACCAAAAAGAAGATGCAAATACCACAGTGGTCTAAGCTGCAAATTGTAAGAAATTATATGGATAATAAAGAAGATCGCTTATTACACACTAGTCTTTTCAACCATACTTGCACACACTGACATCTAGCAAAACCACCTTTGATTTTTAAAATTCCTATTTTTATAGAATGAAGTACAAGGATTTGAAAAGAACTTGATCACAGTCCTATGTTCAACTGGTAGAAGCTACTGAGGAGTTACAGCTCAGTACAATAAAAACTAAATTCAAGCTGTCCAATACAGAATAAGCTGCATCCCTAAGTAGTAATCTGATGCTGGAAGTGTTCAAGAAAATACTAGAAAACCATTTGTTAGGAATGTAACTAAAAGGTTATTTTATTGTACATTGGACAACATGACCTCTAAGGAGATTTTTCAATTTTACAATTCTATGCAAAATTTGGGATATCACAAACAAAGCCCCAGAGACAGTAGGTGTTGTTGCTTTGTCCAAACTGAAACCTTAGAATGAAACAATCTAGTGATATAAATCTAGACACTAGGTTTTTTTTTTTTTTTTAAGTAAAGGGACTTCCTTTAAGATCTCAAATATTTAAAACTTAAAAAAATTACATTTAAAAACTCAATTAAAATCTCAGCTCTACTGTTCTTAAAAGAAAACATATATTCTAAGATAATATTTAAATATTTGTTAATAAAGGTGTATGTATGCAAAGCTGAATGAAAGCAGAAGCTGTGTCTGAGCAAAACCAGACATATCTTTATTCAGCTTTAAATAAAATTTAAAATAAATAAAATTATATTAAATTCATATAGACCCAATAAATAAAATTATATTAAATCCATAAGTCAAAATTTTGTTTCTATCAATGATCTAGCCAGACAGGTAGGCATTCATTCTTTCATTTTATAAATACTGAATAAATATAAATAGTGACCAAATACAAGTATCTCCTATGTGCTCCACAGAGTATTAGGAGCAGGGAGTATACAGTGAGCAAAAGCAGACACAGCTTCTGCTTTTATTCAGCTTACATACATTTTAGTGAGCTTATAGTCTAATTTTGCTTTTAAGTACTTTAAATAACAGATATATACCTTTCTTGCATCAGATATACATAATAGCTTTTCTAGGATCATACAAGAGAAGAGTAACTCAAATAAAAACCAAAAGGCTGGGGGGGCGTTCTTATACCCACTTTATAGCTGAACTTGCTACGTGACCTTGGATTGCTTCCTCCATTTTTTAAGTTTCTCGTATGTGTACATGTGTGATATATATTATTAAAGTAGCACAAAAATTCCTTCCAGTTCAAATATTCTGATTCAACCTTCTCACCTTGATTATTTCTACCAACTGATCCACACCACTATCCCCTGGAAATATTGGTTGTCCTAGTAACAGCTCAGCCAACACACAGCCAGCAGACCATACATCTAAAGAGAAAAGAAAACGAAGCCTTATTAATACTTCATAGCTTGAGCTGAAAAGTGTTTGTATACGTTTTCTAATTTTACTTTGATCACAGAGTAAATATCACAGGAAAAGATTATACAATCCAAAACAGAGAAAAAGTCATCAAACTTCCTTAATGTACTTTTTAATTAAATGTTAAACTTACCAAAGAGGAAACCAGACCAATAAGAATATTCTAATAAAGGGTAAAGTCTATTATTATCAAATTTCAGGTATTCAAGTCTTCAAATAACTAGACAGAGGATTACAGTACCAAAGCTATGGCAGGACTATCTATTTATCTTACTTAAAAATAAGTCAAAGTGACACAACGTCTGCATATTAGTAGGTACTTACAGAGGAGCAGCAAGGAAAGGTTCAATCTCTCCCAGACACTGGGCTTTAAGTCAGTGCAAATTCTGAGGAACACTTTTAAGACTTTAAATGGTTGATTTTTATGTTCTACGATGACTGACAGAAAAATGTGCTTAAATATATCATTTTTAAATAAAATGGAATAGCAATGATGGAGGAATACATTTTACTTCATAAATTATAAAAATAATCCACTTTTAAGTCAAAATGAAAACCTCAATCCGGAGAGAAAACTCTAAAAATTAACTCAATTAATACACTTTAAAAATACTTTAAAGTATACATCCTGGTTTACCCAGGATAGTTATGGTTTATATGTTGTCCTGGGATAATTATTAGTAACACCTCTTTCTCTCTCAAAAGTATTATCGGATTAGAAGATAAACCGTACGGTCACTCTATTTTAAAGCCCGCTATTAAGACTTCCTACAAGAAAAGGCTGCTTTTTAGCTTCCAGATTTCTGAGATTCCTAGGTTTTTAATGTACCAACACTCAAGTGCTTTAGGGAGACGAATATGAATCATTGCTGGACTTTACCACCTACCAGTACGGAAGGAGAAGAAGGAACAGTAAATGGTTGACAACAAAAAATTTTAAAGGTCTGATGTGGTGAGATGTACTATCAAGAGAGACTGGAAATCGTTGCTCCAGTGACTACTTTTTATTGACCTAGAAAAATGACATAGTATCATTTAACAAACTCGAGTTGATTTTGTCCAGTCCTAACTTAATAACCAAGACATCTATTCTGCAAATATAGACCAAGAGTCCTATTTAATATATTAGGAAATTGCTAAATTAAGCACATATGAAAACTTGTTAGGGAATCTTTACTCAAAGCCAATAGTAATACTAACTGTTATAGTCAAGCGGAAAAGATGTATCTCCTTATTTATGTAAATGCTTATTTTAATCTAAGTTTTAAAACATCCCTTTACCTAGTTAATAAGATGGAAGGTAATATGCACTCAACTTTTTTCCTCTCTAATACGGAATGATTCATCTCAGATACAAGGCTGAAAAAATTGTAAGGGAATAATTATGCCTTCATAAAAAACAATAGGAAACACTTTCTTAGGTAAGATTTAGCTACAAATATGGAAGACAAAAAGTAAAACATCAAGGAATACTCTTGCCTAGAAGTTATCACAGAAGACTGACACTCAAAAGATTCAGGTGACAACTATACTAGCAGCCCTCAATTCATGTTACATCAGTCAAGTTAGTAAAAACAAGGTACTTATCAATCACTTTCTGGAGGACACTAAAATCTCTTCTGCTCTTACTTCAAAGGACAAATGGATGAAATTCTCCAGATAGAATAAAACTTCAACTAAATAGAAGGTACCGGAAAAATAGAAATAGTGCTTTGGCACACTGAATTTTAGTTAGTTGGGGTTAAAGCCAGAATAGCATTTTGTTTCATATTTAACTCGGGTTCATGTTAAAGTGATCTTTCAAGACCATCTAGTTTAACACACTTATTTCATAGATAAGGAAATTAAGACATGATAAAGTTAAACGACTTGCCCAAGGTAAAGGTACTGAATAGTAGAGCTAGGCCTGGAATCATTCTCAATTCCCAATCAAAACACCACTCTCTTGAATAACTGTCTCACTGTCACAGAATAACAGCTTCTTCAAGGGTCTGTCTGTAAGTTCAATTCCTTGTTCTAAGGAAGCCTTTTGTTCTCATTCTGCCATTTGTCAGTAAGATAATATAATCAGAGACATCAGCTTTACCTCTGGCTGTATCTAAATATGACAATAATCTTGTCAGAAACAGTTACTCTTTCATTTCAAACATTACTGTTAAAAACATTTAAAAATGTAACAATATTAGTATACTTTTTGGGAGGGTCTGTTTAAAAACATTACAGTCTTAAGAGGCAAGTATCCTAAGTTTATAATGGGAAGCCAAACCTAGGCTTGCTAGGGTTCAAAAGACTCCTGTTTATATAACTGTTCCTTAATGTGTGAGATGATGTGTTAACTTTTTGAGAACAATCAAACTGCCTTTATTTTAGGTGTTTCTGGCACAGCTCACACCAGTATCTTATATACAGATAATCAGTATCATATATTTGAATAAAATGTAAAGCAGCTGGAAAATCCAATGACATACCCAAAGACAAGGGGCTGAAATTTGCTCTTGGGGAGAGTCAAGTCTAAAAATGCCACAAAAGAATACCACCTTTCATTTCTACAGTATTTTCACTAACATTTTATTTAAGCCTCACAGCCACTCAGAAAAGAACTGTCAGTAATCTCCACTTTACTTCAAGTGACCTGACACTCAAACCCAGGTCGACCACAAGCAAAATATTCTTTGTACTATTTTTCATCTGTCCATTCATATATGCCATGTACCACAGCCATACTAAGACTCTGAGAATTACATACACATACATATACACATTATTATGCTCTCTACCCTCTGGTAAAGCAGATGTCAAAGTGTGGTCTACAGAGGACACTTTGTACTCTTTGCACCTGGGTCCTCTAGACATTTCTAGATGTCCCAGAGGGCAAAACTCTTTTCATAAGAATACACCTTCACTGGGTTAACATTTGTACTGAGGGTACAAAGGAAATGGTGGGTAAAACTGCTGGCCTCTTGGCAGAAATCAAAATGTGCTTTGGCATTTTGCCATTTGGCAAAATAAAAAATGATAATGTGTTTCTGATTAGGGTGTTTGCTTGTATCAGAGAATTTCTATTTATATCAAAAAGACAAAAAAACTGTCACAAGGTCTGTTCTATTTTTTGTTGTTGCTGTTGTTGTTTTGAGAGGGGGGGTCTCATTCTGTCACCGAGCTGGAGTGCAGTGGTGGAGTCTCAGCTCACTGCAACCTCTGCCTCCTGGCCTCAAGCCATCCTCCCACCTCATCCTCCCAAGTAGCGGGGACTACAGGGGCATGTCACCACGCCCGGCTAATTTTTGGTAGTGACAGGTTTTCACCATGTTGCCCAGGCTGGTCTCGAACTCCTGAGTTCAAGTGATCTGCCCACCTCAGCCTCCCAAAGTGCTGGGATTACAGGTGTGAGCCACTGCACCAGGCCAGGTCTGTTTTTTGTTTGTTTTGGTTTTCTGTTACTGTGGGGATGTTTTTGGTTTATTATTTGCATGCTTTTGTTTGTTTCTGGACTAAAGGAATTCTCTTCAGAAACAATATGTAAGAGTAAAATAATTTTGGTTTCCACTTGCACATCCAGCTTAAAGTTGCTCCTTGTTTGTTAGCTTCCTATTCATGTCCAGCTGATCATGCTCTCTCTGTTCACTCCTGGCTAGTGGGCTAAGATGTAGTAAAAGAGAAGGTCAATAATGATTAAAGCTAATGGTCTCTATTCAGTTCCTTCTATCACTAAACATCTTGGGTGACGACTTGAGAAGGTCAATGATGATTAAAGCTAATGGTCTCTATTCAGTTCCTTCTATCACTAAACATCTTGGGTGAAGACTTGAGAAGGTCAATGATGATTAAAGCTAATGGTCTCTATTCAGTTCCTCCTATCACTAAACATCTGGGGTGAAGACTTGAGAAGGTCAATGATGATTAAAGCTAATGGTCTCTATTCAGTTCCTCCTATCACTAAACATCTGGGGTGAAGACTTGAGAAGGTCAATGATGATTAAAGCTAATGGTCTCTATTCAGTTCCTTCTATGACTAAACATCTTGGGTGCATACTTCTGCAGAATCAGTGCATCTAGCAAAACTACTAGTGATTTAAGCTGATTTTATATTAAATAATGGAGATGGCATGAAGGAAATGTTAGCAATATGGCCATACTATCACTTTCATTATTAACTTAATGAAATAACATTAATTAATAAATTATCCAACTAGTATAATCATGCTCAGAAGTATTTCAGGAGGATTTTAAATAAGAAAGTAAAAAAAAGTTACTTAGAATTAATTTAAATTCTTAAGGTAAAAGCTATTAGCTTTATGATTCTAACAGTCCAAGGAAGAAAAATAGAATAGTAGGTATACCTTAAATTCTAAAAAGTAGAATTTGAAAAATTCTATACAGGCATACGTCAGAGATGTTGCAGAACTGGTTCCAGACCATAACAATAAGACACAATAAAGCAAGTCTCACCAATTTTCTGGTATCCCAGTGCATATAAAAGGTATGTTCACTCTATACTGTAGTCTATTACTTGTATAATAGAATTGTATAAAAACATAAATGTAATACATTAACTTAAACACACTTTATTACTAAAAAAAAATGCTAATGATCATCTAAGCCTTCAGTGAGTTGTAATCTTTTTGCTGGCAGAGGGTCTTGCCTTGATGTCGATGGCTGCTGACTGATCAGGGTGGCAGTTGCTGAAGGCTATACGATGTGGCTGGAGTAATTTCTTAAAGTGACAATGAAGTTTGCCACATCAACTGACTCTTCCCTTCATGAAAGATTTTTCTCTAGTAGGAGATGCTCTTTGATAGCATTTTACCCACATTAGAACCACTTTCAAAATGGGAGTCAGTCCTCTCAACCCCTGCTGCTGCTTTATCAACTACAATTATGTAATATTCTAAATCCTTTGTTGTCATTTCAACAATATTCACAGCGTCTTAACCACTAGTAGATTCCACCTCAAGAAACCACTTTCTTTGCTCATCCATAAAAGAAGCAACTTGTTTATGTTTCATCATGAGATTGCAGCAGTTCAGTCACATCTTCAGGCTCCACTTCTAATTCTAGTTCTCTTGCTAGTTCCACAACATCTGCAGAGACTTCCTTCACTGAAGTCTAGAATGCCTCAAGGTCACCCATGAGGCTTGGAATCAACTTCTTCCAAAATGTTGTTCATGTGATTGAGTCACAAATGTTCTTAGTGACACCTAGAATGGTGAATCCTTTCCAGAAGATTTAAAATTGACTTTGCCCAGATCCATCAGACTAATCACTATCTAGGGCAGCTATAGCCTTACAAATGTATTTCTCAACCTTTGGGTGACCAGTTGCACTGTCCATAAGCAGTAATATTTTGAAAGAAATACTCTTCTCTGGAGTAGTAGGTCTCAGCAGTGGGCTTCAAATATTCAGTGAACCATGCTATAAACAGATGTGCTATCATCCACTCATTGTTGCTCCATTTATGCAGCACAGGCAGAATACATTCAGCATCATTCTTAAGGGCCCTAGGATTTCTGGAATGGTAAATGAGCAGTGGCTTGCACTTAAAAGTCACCAGCTACATTAGGCCCTCACAAGAGAGTCAACCTGTCCTTAGAAGCTTTGAAGCCAGGCAATGACACTTCTCCTCTCTAGAAGAAGTCTTCCATCTCTAGAAAATCTAGAGATGAAAGTCCTAAACGGTATCTTCTTCCAATTCAGTAGAAGGCTATTTGGTCTCCATTAAAACTCTGATGTTTAATGTAGCCACCTTCATCGATGATCTTAGTTAGATCTTCTGGATAACTTGCTGCAGCTTCTACATCAGCACTTGCTGCTTGCCTTGCACTTTTATGGCATGGTGCAGCTTTTTACCCTTAATCCTCATGAAATAACCTCTGCTACCTTCAGATTTTTCTTGTGTAGCTTCCTCACCTCTCTGTCTTCACAGAATTGAAGGGAGTTCAGGCCTTGCTGGGTTAGGCTTTGGCTCAAGTGAATGTTGTGGTTGGTTTGATCTATCCAAACCACTAAAACTTTCCCTGTAACAGCAATAAGGCTGTTTCACTTTCTTATCATTCATCTGTTCATTGGAGTAGCACTTTAATTTCCTTTAAGAACTTTTCCTTTCTGGTCACAACTTGGCTAACTGTGTGGCACAATTTCGATATGCCTTCCTTGCTCAGCTTAATCATTTCTAGCTTTTGATTAAAAGTGAAAAATGTACCTTTCACTTGAACACTTAGAGGCAACTGCAGAGTTATTAATTGGCCTAATTTCAATATTGTTGTCTCTCAGGGAATAGGGAGGCCTGAGGATAGGAAGAGAGATGGGGAATGGCCAGCTGGTGGAATATTCATAACATACACAACACCGATCGATTAAGTTTGCTGTCTTATATTGTTGTGGTTTGTGGCAAACCAAAACAATTACAATAGTAACATCAAAGACCACTGATCATAGATCACCATAGCAGATACAATGAGAATGTTTGAAATGTTGCAATAATTACCAAAATGTGACACAAAGACATGATGACACAAAGACATGAAGTGAGCACATGCTCTTATAAAACTAGTGTGGGCAGACTTGCTTGACTCAGGGTTGACACAAACCTTTGAGAGGTTAAAAAAAAAAAAGCAGTGCCTGGAAAGTATAATAAAATGAGGTATGCCTATACATGTTTGCATCTCAAGCTTTAAGAAAAAAAACATTATGGGATATATCCATCTTTCCATGGAAATAAAAGTACAGATTAGTAGTACTAAATTACCAAAATCAAGAAGCAATTAATAATTATGAGCATTATATTCAGATTTGTACTTACCTATACTAGAGGTATAATCAGTGGCTCCAAAGATCAACTCTGGTGCCCTATAGTACCGAGAACAGATATACGAAACATTGGGTTCTCCTCGGACCAGCTGCTTTGCACTAACAGAAAAAAAATAAAAATAAAAAGCAGAAATTCTTTAAATCTAAACCTTAAAGAACTTAGACTGCTATCCTTTCACAGTATCAAATGATTTTATAAGATTCACATCATTTGAATCATATATGAAAAAGAAAATGTAAACTGTAACTATCTCTAATAAAAGAAATTTACAATTTTATCACCTTGCTCTGCAAAAAAGAATAGCAATTTTTAAAGAAAGCGTTTGTCACCTAAGAAGGCACCAAAAGCAAAAAAGGATAAGTGTTGAATTTCTTCTGATCCTCTGTTCCCCAAATTCCACCTCTAAAATACAAAGAAGCAAGGGCAGAAAAGAGGTACCTCCCCCACCAAAAAGCATGACAATGGATTCTAAGAATGAATACTCCTCACCCAATGTATTTCTTTAAAAAGGGTGAGAAACTGGCCACTGTCTTGCATTTTGACTTCTGACTCACGGCGAATATTTCAAGGCTTATAGACTCAATCTATTTTTCCATATCTTGGTCAATTTATTAACCACATAAACATTTATTACCCAATAAATTATAAACAGGCCCTTCAACTTCAGGGCAGAAATGATTCACTGCCTATAAATTCTAACTCTGCTATAGTAAGTATAATTGCATGTTTTCTTATTCCAATTTTCCTACTAAAATACTTCATTGCATGTATTTTAAATATGAAGTATAATAAATTACAATTAATTTCTTTTGAGATGTCGCCCAAGATAATCCAAAGACAGAATAAAATAAACTGCTGTAGAAGCCAGCCATTCTGACATACATTAATAATAAAGATAAATAAAGGGACAAAATGCAACAAAATCAAAACAGTAAAACAGTAAGTGCCAAAAAAAAAAAGTAAAGGTACTGGAAAACCAGGGTAAAGACAGATGAAAGTAGTCACAAGGATTTCAATGACTGGGATTTCTTTTCTTCCATTTATTTCTAGTCAATGATGACTCTAACCTTAACTTCTTTTTCCTTCATCACTAGTTTTGAAGTTTGTTTTTTAACCCTCTCCCCAAGTACTGACATACAATAACCATTTCATAAATTAATAAATACTAATCCCTGTTTTTAGGCTGCATGAAAATTATGACATTTAGTTTTCAGCATAATTGATAGGAGACTGTTATATCTTCTAAAGGATGCTTTTTAATTAACAAGATAGATGCTAATTATGTTCAGAAAATTCATTACGAGACAAAACGTTAATACCCAAGCTTTGTAGCCTGAAGTTTTTTCACTACCTGATGGAGCTACAAAAACGGAGCAGCCTCTCTTACAGAGGAGACTGGTTTTAACTACTTCCCAATATTGTGATCACATCTAGCTTTTTGTTCCTAAATAGCCCAACTAGTTCTTTAGCTACTTTTTGGCCCCTTTTCATCTAGTAAAAAAATAAGAAGAAAGTAATAGTATTTTGTTCAAATTACCAATCTGATAATGTACAGTCCAAAGTGTTTCCCAAACTCCATCTGACCAAACCAATTTTGTTAAAAACAAAAAAATCAGAGGGTTTATAAAAATGAGCTATCAAACAAGCGAAATCCCTCTTCCAAATTTATCAGAATAAAGCTATTTTATGTCCCAAGAGAATGGGCTGTACCAAGTGTTTTGACACTATATGAGAACAGAAGCTCTTCTAACCTTGGTGTCTCAGTCTGTCCCTACCAAGTCAGTCACTCTCAATGGTGAAGACACCCCATTAACAATAAAACATATCTGATTTGGGCAGTTTTTCCTATAGACAAGTAGTAGTGCTTTGTTTCAAACACCAGGTAAGAGTTTTACTATCTTTCACCCTTTTTAAAAATAGTTCAGGGAACAGAGTCATGGCCTGCAAAGTGATAGGTCATCTGAAATTAGAAAACAGTAAAATGAGGACAGTCTGAAAGAGGACACATTGTGAGACTAAGAAAAATTAACTCATGACAGAACAGATTTACTTATTTTTTAAAGGATCTGTCTCAAGAGAAGCCTGTGGAAAACATATCCTATGTTAAACCCCAAATTTAAACTGTGAATTGATGTAAAAGTATTACAAAGGGATAGGAACACAGGTATTAACAAGTGTGGGGCAATATGTTATCTATAGAGCTATGGTGAAAAGAATCTGTAACAAGGGTGAAAAAATTAAATTGGAGAGAATCCAAATTATGTAAAGATGTCTTAGGGACCATGAGGAGAGAGATTAGGTGATTACACCAGTGAGGAAGTAGCGGGGTAACTGCCTGAGTTACATGGGAATGTAGGCTTGACTACATGTTAAAAGGTTAGATCAGAGAGGCACAAAGTACTGAAAACTGAAAATGGAAAGAATAAAGTTGTATTACAAATTCACAGTATATTACCAAGAAATGAGCTTTTAAAAGCAGAAAGTTTGATGAAATTTGCAGGAAAAAGGGTGGAATAAAAGGTTAAATTATAGAGGAAAATGAAGAAAACACTGCATTGTTTTTTATCTCATCCCTGAATTGAGGTTAATTGTGAAGTTAAAAAGATACACAGGAATGTATAATAATCAATATTTTGAAAAAATTTAGTTCTTACTGAAAAAGGAGTATATATACCTAATGTAAATTCAAACAATACTAAAATACAATCAATGAAAAAGTGAGTTTCCCAACTACATTATATTCCCAAAGATCCTTTCTCAGGCAATCAAATATTATGGATTACGTACCATTTCAGAAATAAGCCACACATGTACTTGTGTATATATGTGTGTGTGTACATATATATATATATAGTCACATTCTGTATGTTTTTAAAACATAAAAGGTGGCATACAATACATATACTCTTGATCTTGCTTTCTTCATTTAATGTTTCCTAGACATCATTCCCTTTCAGTTCACAGAGAGTTGCCTCATTCTTTTTCATGGTTGCATGTATTACTCTGCATGTACCGTAATTTATTTAGCCATTTTCCTACTAATGGATGCTTATAAACAATGCTATAATAAAAATCCCTATATATACACTGTATTGTAAATATGTATTCCTAAGGAAATAATTCCTAAAAGTTAAACTGTTAAATGAAGGAGTATATACATTTATAATTTTGACAGAAACTAACAAAACTACTCTCACAGCTGCACTAGTTTATACTTCTTGAATAAGAATTACTGTGTTTAGGCTGATATTGCAAAAGGAATATATTTAAAAGAAGATAGTAGGGGGAGGAGGGGAAAAGGGAAGGGGCAGGGAGAGGGACAGTAGCTTACCTTCCAAAGTCACAGAGTTTTAATACAGCAGTATCAGGATCCAACAAGAGGTTCTGCGGTTTAATATCCCGATGGCAGATTCCAAAGGAATGGATATAGGCTAAACTTCGGAACAGCTGATACATATACAACTGGAATAGATAGTAGAAATTAATTAAATACTTCCTATTCTAAACAAATCAGAATCCTTAAGCAGTCAATAAAGTAACAGATTCTCAGAAAAGAACAGGTGAAATGCTATGGATTACTGGCACTCAATCTTCCTTTCACAAGTTTTGTGTCACTTCTGTATTAATTAGCTATTTCTATATGAATTAGCTAAACTGTCATTAACCATATGTACTATTCGCTTCATTCTTTAATAACTCAAAAGAAGAAAATTTTACAATGTGCTTTATAACTTTTAATTTTACTAACATCTCACATTACAAGCCTGCTAAGATGGGCTTTTATTTAAAACACAAATGAAAAGCTCAGAGAGGCACCCCAAATCATGAATAATCAGTAACTTTGGGCCAGAAACCAGGTCTCCTGATTTTTAAGTTTATAGTTCTTTCTAGTAGAGCATGCTGCTGAATGTAAACGTATTTCCAAAGTGTGATCTTTAGAATATTCTTCTGAGATGTCAGCCTCCAAGGTGATTGATACAGTGGTCTAGGAAAACTCATGTGGACTGAGAAAATCTGTAATCACTGCTCTATCAAGACATCAATAACCCTGTTAGTAGCATCACCATTCTTCCTGTTAATATCCTTCAGAAAAAGTATAATTCAAAATGACATTCAAAAACAGATGCCTGACTATTGACATCATCTTTCAAAAGAGAAGACTTTCTCAGTTTTCTTACCAAAAAGATACACTGAGAAACTGGGTCTGCATGGAGTAAAGAATCAGACTCTTGACTGGAGGAGAGAGAAACTTCATGGACGAAGAGAGTATAATTTAAACCTTCTGTTTATCTCAAGGTCAGTGTTCTGATTCACTTTTAAACTTTTCTGGCTGTTTACCTTCTGACCTCTACCCCAAAGTTACACCATGGACAGAATTTTTGAAATGAGTCAAACCAAAGATAATAAATATCTTGGTAAAAAAACAATTAAAAAAAAAGATACTTAAAAGTCTAATGAAGCATTGACATATGGCACCATCTTTAAAAGCTACTGCTAAGGCTTAGGTTAATTAAAGTTAACATGAAACCTACTTTCATTCTAAGAAGCATGGTGAAAACTGCAGACAGCTGAATTTTAGTACATCCTTGAAGTTAATGTGAACTATTAGCTGGAAAAGTTTATGTTTTCTTTAAAATGAAGCAAGATGTAAACTGTACAGATAAGATCTTTTATAAGGTCAGCATTTTGCCAACAAAGTTAAAATTAAGGCATTTAGGTATCCATGTAACATTTTTTAAAAACTTCATAGTTCTATTATTGTACCATCATTCACAGAATCCATTTCTAAGTCCTAAAGCTTACTGTAGGAGTTTAATTCATTACCACTAAAAAGATAACCTCCCATAAGAAACTGAGTTCATAGGCATAAATTTACTAAAAAAAGAGATTTTACTGTGTCAGGGTATTGATGTCTAGGTCTGCAAGAATCAGTGAAAACGAGTTTTCTTTTTTTTTTTTAAAAAAAAAAAGCTTAATCGTTTAAATGAGGTTAATTTTAAGATGTCTTTTTACTGTATTCTTTCATCTGAAAGATCTACTCTATCTTCATTGTTTTGAAAAGTTTATCTAGAAAAGTCAAGATAAAGAATGAAATATGCAATATTATATATTTGTTGTTATTTCACTTTGTAAAAGTGTATTTATAAGAAAGCTGAGAGGCTTTCTAGACTAGAATGATAGCAAAAACAAGAACAGAAAAACAACTTATCATGGGCTGGGCACTGTTCTAACTGCTTTATGTGTATTATTTCACTTACTCCTTATAATAACCTTATGTAATAAGTACTAATATTATTACCATTTTAAATATAAAATAACTGAGGCCCAGAGAGATTAAGCAACTTGCTCAATATCACACACACACAATATTCTGTAGTGGTTTGAGTAAGTGCTTCTCTTTCAATTACTATTTATGTATTTTGCCATATTTTATTAAATAAAGGTGTAAAATATAATCATTAAATAGCTTGGTGGAGGCCGGGCGCGGTGGCTCACACCTATAACCCTAGCACTTTGGGAGACCAAGGCAGGCGGGTTGCCTGAGCTCAGGAGTTCGAGACCACCCTGGGGGCAACATGGTGAAACCCCGTCTCTACTAAAATGCAAAAAATTAGCCGGTCTTGGTGGTGCACGCCTGTAATCCCAGCTCGGAAGGCTGGGGCAGGAGAATTGCTTGGACCCGGGAGATAGAGGTTGCAGTGAACCCAGAATGCACCACTGCACTCCAGCCTGGGCCACAGAGCGGAATTCTCTCTCTCTCAAAAAAACAAAAACAAAACAAAACAAAAAAAAAGCAGTTTGGTGGCTAAATAAAAGACTAGAATGATTAATTCTTAGAAACTCAAATATAATTAACACACTTTAAAATATAACAGATTTAACATATACTAAGTGCCAAACCAAGAAAAGCATTTCTGCCTATTTGCCTATTTGTTTAGTTAATTCTTGCAACCACTCTGAGATACACATTATCCCTGTTTTTACAGAAGATATTGAGGTTCAATGAAAACAATTTTTTTTATTTTTCATTTTATTCAAAGTTGGTACAAAACTGTTAACATTTCCATAAAACAATTACTATGCTTCAGTTACAGGACAAAATATCACAGAAAGGAATGTATTTTGCAGTTGAGCACAATTTGAACAGTTAGTTATATTTAACTCAAATCCAATGCCCTCTTCTCTGTGCCATAATATCTGAAGTAATAAAATAATAAAACAATAGAATACATGTTAAAACAAGTAATAACAATTTTGTTCATGATTCAAAAAATGCATCCAACTCTCTTGTGTGATCAGACCCTGTCCTTAAACATGTATTTTCAATTAAAAAAAAATTAAGTTCACAACAATGATTTGCCAGTCATCTGTTTTAGAGTTGCATTTTAAAACCTACTTAAGTTCTGAAATATACTCATCAGAAAAGCAAAGGTGCTCAGTTTTTAACCTGTGTATTACTCATAGAAAATACTCAACTCTCCCAGAAAAAGTGAAAGGCAATTATAAAGAAATGCAGTTGCCATTCTGGTAACATGTATGCCAAACAAGTCCTTATCAGATGATGAGGTTCATGAAGGCAAGAGTTACTTGCATTTACTACTTTTATATCGCTCTCACAATCTAACATTTTTCATACAATAGGATTACAATAAAACTATGTAGAATGACTACGTGAAGGAGATCAACTCATAACTCATCAATTCCAGACACTGTTTTTATCTTTTCAGATAAAAGGGATCGATGTCCCCAAAGAATAATGCCCAGAGCCAATAGATCTGGCCTCTGAAAGCGCTGTGGTTACATAAGAAAAAAAAAAAAGAAAAAAAAAAAAAAGAAAAATCATCCCTTTTCCCACAAGGGGGAGAAAGAAAGGAGTGCTAGATTTCTCTCTGTATGCCAACTTCAGTATGTACAATAATTTTATTTTCTTTTTTAAAATACAGGATGCCAGATATCTAGCTCAACTATTTGCTGGCAAAAATACCGTAAGTGCACAGGGTTGTTCACTATAGCAAAAACCAAAAAAACCACAACAAAAAACAAGAGGAAAACAATATGTGCATTATTGGTCACTGGGTGAATTAACTAGAATACAGCCACATGATGAAGTAATATGGTAGCCATAAAGAAGGTGACACACACACACACACACACGAAAATATGGACTGATCTCTAGGACATATTTTTAACTGAAAAAAAAGAGAAAAATGTGTACCTTATGTAACCATTTATATAAAAAGAGTAAGAATAACTGCATGTTTGCTTATTTTAAAAATGGTAGGATAAATTATGAACACTTAAAAAATACTTAACACTGGTAGAGGAAAGGAACAGAGCAGAGGGAACAGAGATAAAAGCTGAACTTCTTTGAACATACCTTGTTTTGTCAATCTTGCTTTGAACTATGTATAAATATTTTATATGAATTTTAAAGTAAATTTTATTTGAAAATTTAGAAAACCACAATCTATAATAAAAGTAAACTGAAACAAACAAATGCTTAATGGAACATCATCACACAGAGAGGAATTATTCAATTTTTTTGAGATGAAGTCTTGCTCTGTCACCCAGGCTGAAGTGCAGTGGCATGATCTTGGCTTACTGCAACCTCTGCTTCTCAGGTACAAGTGATTCTCCTACCTCAGCCTCCTGAGTAGCTAGGATTACAGGTGTGCTCCAGGATGCCCAGCCAATTTTTATATTTTTTAGTAGAGGTGGGGTCTCGCCATGTTGGCCAGGCTGGTCTTGAACTCCTGACGACCTCTGGTGATCTGCACACATCAGCCTCCCAAAATGCTGGATTACAGGCATGAGCCAATGTGCCTGACCTCAGTGTTTCTTTAGAACAGAGAAATTTGATTGTTCATCCCTAATGGGATCTAATGGGTAAAACTGAGCTGTGCTTAGATCTTAAATTATTTTTAGCTGGTGGTCCTAGTGTTGGAATTGTTATTCTAAGATGGTTATGTAGGGTGCTGGGTAGAATAAGTTATTAATTATACTACTATCATTGAGAAATGAAATTTTCAATGTAAGAGAAAGGAAATACAAATATAAGATTATTACAGTTAAGTAAAAACTCATCGATTTTATTTGAAAGTATCAGTATGAACTCATGGTGTATTTATTTTTGGAAAAAAAGAAGATGCATTACATCTGAGAAAATTACCCACATATTTCCTAGCTCTGTTCGCTAAAAAGACCCAGAAACAATAACCAATCCCGTGACAATTAGCACCTCTAGCATCCAGACTGTGGTCTCTAAATACCACCTCCCACTAAAAGAACAAGGTCTTCTTGAAGAAAAGGTTGATTCTAAGTCTGAGGAAGAAATGTGTAAGATGAACTTGGAATACTTTGTCATGTTAGAAAGCAAGGAAACGGTCAAATATTATTAAGACTCACATAAGATACTTTAAAACAACAAAACACCTCATTCATTGGTACCTATGGAGGATGCTATGGAATAGACTATTATAAATTTTCGTAAATAAAGAAAAGGGATCAAATACATTTCCTGTCTTTTTATATAAACTATATCTCAGGGCACAAATAGTTGATATGGGAAAATCTCTCTTTATGAAACTATTCCAGCTTATAAATTAAGAAGGAATAATAACAGTAGACTATCAACATTTTGTAACCTTTAATGAATTAATGAATTTAGGCAGTGATCATCAATGGCTACTAACGTCAGGAAAAGAAAGACATTATGTTCTTCCTTCAGAAAGCACTCAATACTACAAATGAAGTGGTCCTGACTCCTACCAAAAATATATTTAATTATCAGTTATCTAACCACCAATTTGCAGGAAATATAGATGACCAAAGAACATACTAATTACACTACAGAAATTCAGCAAAATCCAGACCAAGAAAGTATAGGTCAAATGATCCGGTTTCTTTAGCAACAAAGTTCAAGAGAGAGAAAAAGAGAACCTATGGATTAAAAGAAACATTAGAGGCACATCAGCCAATCACAGTATATAAACCTTAACTGAATGCCAATTCAAAAATATAAACTTAAAAAAATTATGTCATAGGCAAATATAAACTGGGTATCTAATGACACTAATGAAATACCATTTATTTTCATAGGTATGACAATGGTAATTTAATTACATTTTAAAAAATAATATCCTGGCCAGGCGTGGTGGCTTGCGCCTGTAATCTCAGTACTTGGGGAGTCCCAGCTGGTGGATCAATTGAGGTCAGGAGTTCAAGACCAGCCCAGCCAACATGATGAAACCACATCTCCACTAAAAACACAAAAATTAGCTGGGCATGGTCGCGTGTGCCTGTAATCCCAGCTACTTGGGAGGCTGAGGCAGGAGAATCGCTTGAACCCAGAGGGTGGAGGTTGCAGTGAGCCGAGATTGTGCCACTGCACTCCAGCCTGGGCAACAGAGTGAAATGAAGGAAGGAAGGAAGGAAGGAGGTAGGTAGGTAAGGAGGTAGGTTAGGTAGGTAGGTAGGTAGGTAGGTAGGGAAGGAGGGAAGGAAGGAAGGAAGGAGGGAAGGAAGGAAGGAAGGAAGGAAGGAAGGAAGGAAGGAAGGAAGGAAGGGAGGAGGGAAAAATAATAAAAAAGAACATCCTTATCTATACATAAAGTATATATATACTTTATATATAAATATATGATATACACTACATATAGTATAGTTTATATATAAATATGTAATATACACTATAGTATATATAGTTTATATATTATATATACAATATATAGTGTATATTATATATACTATATATATATATGACTCCTTGCCAAAGTAATCTAGCTAACAAAAGTGCTTGAAGAACTTCTATTATTATTATTATTATTATTAGCTTATGCAAAATCCATCCAAAGAACTTCTATTATTAATGGTTCTACTTTGATAACCCTTTTATTATTGTGAAGCTTAAATTTTTAACAAGACTTCAAAAACTCTAACCATAAGACATTCAGAGTCAATGACATTTTATTTTCTACAGTTATTTCCATAAAGGGTTAAATTTAAAAATTGTATTTAGATATGTGAACTTTCAAACTTAACTACTAGTTTTCACAATGCCATAGTTAATAAAATAATTTGTTACTAATAACTAACCACAACTTTAATACAAATTATGCTAGATAAATACCTAGCCATTCTGCCATGAGTTCTAGGAAATAAACAAGATGGCATTGATATTAGATACCAAAAAATAAACAACACCCAATGCATATTTAAAATTGCCAACAGTTTAAGCTGCAGCTACAGATGCTAAAAAATATATAAATGGCATCTGTGAACAAATGAATTTGAACATATTTATAACTATATTTTACAATTTTATATGATACGCTCCTATTTTGGTTTGTGGCACAATAAAGATATCAGAAGTTAAATTAAAATGTACTGTGGCTAGCAGAAATAAAATCTATAAATGTCTGTGAAAAATATTCACTGTAATTTACCAGAATATCTTTACTATCTGAGTTATAAAACTTCAAAAGGTGCACAATTCACATTTTAAAACTGTAAAAGGATTTAACAAAGTTCCAACAATACCTACTTTACAGTTTTTCTCCCTGAGTATTAAATACAATAATATAGTTAAAACATAAAAGAGGCTCTCCTTGGTTCATAAAAAATGTTTTCTAAAATGGAAAATTGTTATGTTTTTACATACCTTGACATAAATCACAGGGAGCGTCTGTTTGGCTCGACTATAGTGTCTGGCAACTCTGTATACTGTTTCCGGAACATAGTCCAGCACCAGATTAAGATAGACCTCATCTTTCTGAAAGAGTTTATTTAAAAAAACAAAAAACAAAACAGATTAGAAACTGGTCTTTAAATATTCAAATTAGAGTAAATTCTCTAGATATTTACTTATTCGGATTTTTAAAGATTAATGTGTCACTTTTAATTATATAAAATTACTTCAGAATATAACCATAATAATAAAACAAGTCAACCACACCTTTTTACTAATAATTCAATGGGGAAAAAATAGTCATTTCAATATTGTTAAGATTCCCAATTACATTTAAACGATTATTTTGGTTACCATGATTTTAGAGGATATCACCTGTCATAAAATATAATATTTTCTAGGCTGATAATCAATGTCCTCATATCCTATTAAGATAAGTATCGTGGTGGCAGGGAGAGTACTGAATCTGAAACTAAGAAACATGGATTTCTAGCCCTAGCTCTGCTAGTTGGTGTGTGCAAGTCACTTGCATCTCTAGGCTTCAGTTTCTTCAACTACAATATGAAAAGTCAGACTAAACAGTCCAAAATGTCTCTAACCTACACACACACAAAAAGATCTTATAGTTACCTGATAGTATATAACTGATAGAACAATCACTTGTCTTCTATAATTAACTGAAATTTAAAAAATAACCTATAAGGCAACGTGTTACCATACTCACAAGCTCATTACAGGTCCTATGCTTAAATATCCATGCTCTGCAGCATAAAGACACCAACTCAACAACACCAGTGGAGAAAAAGAAAGGCATTCTAACTTAAGCACCAAGTAGGAAGGAAGAGCAGGGCACTGCCCTTACCTTGTTCATGTGGCCAGTATCAGGTAAATTGAAGCAGAAAACAAAGTTGAGAATCACCATGTTCAAGCATAGGCTTGGCTACTGAGTGAGAAATACTGTGGATAAACAAACTTTCACAATCTCCCAATTTGAAATAATCTTACCTATCAAACTGAAGTGGAGAATTTCAATTTTCAGCATTTACTGAGCATTTTCCATATTATCAGTGGCCACAGCAGAGGAAATAAAAGTATAAAAGAGATGACATCTAAACTGTGTATAAAAGAAGCATTTCACGCAGAGAGAGAAAACTATATTCAAAACATAAGGTCATGTAAGAGTAGAGCAGAGATTAGGAAATAGTGAAACATCATGCCATTGACCCTACTACCTTCTCTCTACACTTCACGCACTTATGTTCTCCTCTCTTCCCTTCTTAGCCTGCTTAAATTCCACGGTCCATCATTATCCTCTCTAACACGAGAGTTAACAAACAACAGGAATAGTCTGCTGCCTGTTTTTAAAAATAAACTTTTAATGGAACAGAGCTATGCCTATTCAGTTAAGTATTGTCTATGGCTGCTTTTGGACTACAGTGACAGAACTGAGTAATTGTGACAGAGACTAGATAGCCCACAAAGCCAAAAATATCTAAGAAAAAGCTTGTGGTTTTTCCACAACCCTGGTTGAGTTCAGCTTTCTGCCCAGTCCATGTCTACGACCAAAGAGCTCAACATGGCTGCAAAGAAACCTCTAATTATGCTGACTGGTGTCATGTTCAAGTCATCATCAAAATTTAATTTGTTAGCCAGGCGTGGTGGCTTACGCCTGTAATCCCAGCATTTTGGGAGGCTGAGGCAGGCAGATCGCTTGAGTTCATGAGTTTGAGACCAGCCTGGGCAACATGGCAAAACCCCATCTCTACAAAAAATACAAAAATTAGCCAGGCGTGGTGGTGTGCACCTGTAGTCCCAGTTACTTGGGAGAAGGAGGTGGGAGAATGGCTTCAGCCTGGGAGGCAAAGGTTGCAATAAGCCAAGATCATGCCATGCACTCCAGTCTGGGTGACAGAGCCACACCTTGTCTCAAAATCAATTTGTCCAGCAATAATTATACACTTTCCTGGTCCATTCACTTTTCCAGACCACTTAATTTCTTCTTTCCTCCTCTTCAACCTCTAACACTCCTTCTCTAACCTCAGCCTCAACAGATGACCTTGCTTGCATCACTACAAGCACTAACCTACCAGCATCTATCTCCATATACTCTTATTTTACTTCTGTAACTAGAGATAAGCTAACCCAGCTCCTTCCTAAGGCAAACATCACTACATGTTAAAGCAAAAACAAAAATGGTCCTGTACTCAAGGTCATTGCTCCAGAATTTTTTTTGTCTTTCTGCATTAATTATTCCGTGTGGAAACATTACAATCAGCACATAAACTTGCTATTATTTCTCCCATCTTAAAAAAAAAAAACTATCTCTAACCACACTAATCACCACCATATTTCTGCCTCCTCTCCTTAAGCTGGCTTTCTCCAGTTCCTCTCTCCTCCTATTCTAAAACTTTCTCCAACAGAATTTCACTACCACTATGCCAAAATTATTCCAGATGAACAATCTCCTTGTTGCTGAATCCAAAGCCAATTTTCAGTCATCATGTTACCCTTCTCATCTATTTGACTTGGCACTACCATTTGGAAAAGTCAATCACGTTCCTTTCATTGAAGCACCTTCTTCACTTCATAGGACACTATACTTTTTTGGTTTTCATCCTACCCTACAGACAACTCTTCTTTTCTCCATTTCTGCTTCCTCCTATTCTCCTTGATCTCTTAAAAATTGGAAGATCCCTGGACTTAGTCCTCAGATCTCTTCTGTTCTTTAAACTCACTCCCCCTTGATAATCTCATCCAGTCTAATGACTCAATACAACTATACACTGATTATATATAAATACATACACATATACTAGACCTCTGCCCTTAACTCCACACTAGTATATCCAACTGTGTATCTGGTATTGCTCTGGCTGAAAACCTTAGAATCATCCTTAATCAACTCCCAGCCCCTTCTCTCTTACACTTCCACACACACACACACACACACACACACCCCTATACCCACACATACACCCTCATATCCAAATGCCAGGAAATATGAATGGTTCCATCTTTAAAATTTATCTGGATCCAACCACTCATCATCTTCACTGGTAGAACCCTCGTCCAAGCTACTATCACCTTTCACGTGGATTACTGTAATATCTTCCTAAATGGTCTGCTTCTACCCTTATTCCTTTCCAGTCTACTATCAACTAAAATCAAGTCAAGTTAGACTGTATCTCTTCTACTCTACCTCATTGGTCTATAAGGTACTACACACCCATCTCATTATTTCTGTCCTCTATTCTTCTACTCCACTGCTGTCCTCACTGCTTACTTTTCTCTAGCCAAGCTACTTCCCTGCTATTTCTTGAACACATATGGTACATTTTCAGATTCAGGGATTCTGTACTTCAGGGCTTCTAATTCTTTAACCTAGAATGTTCTCCCCCAAGACATGCTCAAAGCTCATTTGTCTCAACTCCTTCAAAATCTTTGGTAAAAGTGTTACCTTCTTAGTATGGCTTTCCTTAATCATTCCATTTAAAATTACAACCCATTCCTCCACCTTCACATTCCCCATCTGCCTTCCCCACTTTATAAATGACTCTTACCATTGTATAACCACATAGTTTATTTTATTTTATCCGCTTCCTCTGACTAGACAAGGCTCCATGATGGCAAAGGCTTTTGTCTGTTTTATTCACTGCTCTATCTCCATGTAGAATAGTGCCTAGCACACAGTAGGTACTCAGTAAATATTTGCTGACTAAATTAAGTGTAAGGGCAATGGGCATTTTAAAAAATGTAGTATTACATATTTCACAATGTATACACATATAAAAATCATGTACACTGTAAATATATACATTTTTATTTTTCAATTATATCAATAAAGCTTGAAGAAAAAAATTAGATTACAAACTGACATGTCTGTTTTAACTCAAACAGTATTATGGAAAATGGGTATGGAGAGGAGACTTGGGAAAGTGAGAATGAATGCAGGGTGAGCAGCTGGAAACCTTCTACAAGAGTCCAAAGGCTGAATCAGGGCATAAGGCAATAGGGACTTTTTTTAAAGCAGCGGGAAGGCAGGGTAGGTATACCGGCTAGTTGAACATGAGACTAATAGAGAATCCAAGAAACAAAGAGATTGGGATTAATTTAACTGTCTTTAAGCTTGGGCAACCAAATAGGTGATGAGACACAGAAAGCAAAAACAGTAGAAAGGTTTGAAGGAAAAATTATTTGAACTTTTACTTAATGAATCTCAGAACACTTTGAGTAGTTATATTACATAGGTGGTTGCAAACAGAGGTCAAGGCAAAACTCAGGAAGCAAGAGTGGAGTACAGCTTGAGATTCAGGCAATAGCTGAAGCCATGAGAATAGACTTGTTCACCTAAGAAGACCACCCAGAGTTGGAGAGTAAGGAAAGGACTGAGTATGGAATCCTGAAAAACACTAAATTTAAGAAGCAGACAACACAGGGGACTTAGCAAACATGAAGAAAAAACTAAGAGGCAAAAGAAAGCAAGGAAAGATTAGCATCGACAATTCAAAGTGGAAATTTCTATAAGGGTGAGAGGTGAAACTGTGAAGCATTTCAATAGCAGACGAGATGAGGACTAAAAAGAGGTTATTCGATCTATACCCAATATCTTGGTGTATCTTGGTTCAGTGATGCTCTTGGAAAAAGAGGTTTCAGACCATGGTGCCAGTAGCAATCAAGCTTTATTGGGTTCACAAGTGAGCAGGTGGCAGATGAGGAATAGGAGGTAGTTAATTCAGTTTATTCTCACAAAGTCTCTGGTGATGAAGTAAGGAGAGAACTGGGAGTTGGTAACTCAAGGGGAGCAAAAGTCAAAGAAACATTGTTGCTGGGCTTTTGTTTGCACTTTTTACTGGCTAAAAGAGACCCAAATTTATTTGTAAGCTAAGTAGACATAGGTAGAATAAAGTTATAAAAAAGGAGGAAAGGCCGGGCTTGGTGGCTCACGCCTGTAATCCCAGCACTTTGGGAGGCAGAGGCGGGCGGATCATGAGGTCAGGAGATCGAGACCATCCTGGCTAACACGGTGAAACCCCGTCTCTACTAAAAATACAAAAAATTAGCCGGGCATGGTGGCAGGTGCCTGTAGTCCTAGCTACTTGGGAGGCTGAGGCAGAAGAATCGCTTGAACCCAGGAGGCAGAGGTTGCAGTAAGCTGAGATCACACCACTGCACTCCAGCCTGGGAGATAGAGCGAGACTCCATATCAAAAAAATAAAAAAAAAAAAAAAAAAAAAAAGAGGGAAAAGGGATAAGAAGCAAGATTCTAGAAAATCAGGAGAAGGAAGAAACAAGGACAAAGACAAACTATATAGCATAGTAATTAAGAAGTAAGATTAGCATGAGTCACATAAAACTATATAGAAGTCCCAATTCTGTTACTAGGAGTTATGTAACTATGAGCAAGTTATTTAACCTCTCTAAGCATCAGTTTCCTCATCTGCAATATAGAGCTAATGACAGTATCTATTTTAAAGAACTGTCATGATATTATAAGAAATCATCAATGTGAAATTCTTTAAATACATTACCTAACACACAATAAAGACTCGAGTTTTAGCTATTTTCATCCTTAAAAAATTAGTTATCTTTTTTTCTTTAAATCTAATAAGTGATTAGGTATTAGGGAAAAGGAAAGAAATGTAAGCTGAATGAGTTATGTGTGATGATCCTATTTCTTGTAAAGTAAGAGATAAGATGATATGCAAAACTAGGGGTAACAAGAGTAATGCTGAAGGCTAAAAGAAAAAAATGCAGAGATCAATATTCAGAAACAATCAGTTCCCATTGTAAATGAGGTCTAATAAAGAGAACAAATTAACAGAATGCTCAATTGGTGTGAAAAGGATTGCTGTATTAAATAGAATTCAAAGAATGGTGAGTCTCAGGTATTAGAAAGGTCATTAACACAGATGTCAAAACCATTTTTTTAACTATTACTCAATCACAAAGTTTCTTGATTTTAATGATCCATTTTACAAAATTAATCATTATACAATTATGAACAACCTGGAGATGTGTATACCACTACATTCCAATTTACTTCATTTGCTAAACAATCATACTAACAGTTAAGAATATAAAGGCTGAACCAGGCGCAGTGGCTCATGCCTATAATCCCAGCACTGTAGGAGGCCAAGGCAGAAGGATCACTTGAGTCCAGGAGTTCACAACCAGCCTGGGCAACACAGGGAGGCACCATTTCTACAAAAAAACAAAAAATTGGCCAGGCATGGTGGCTCACGCCTGTAATCCCAGCACTTTGGCAGGCCGAGGTGGGCGGATCACCTGAGGTCTGGAGTTCGAGACCAGCCTGACCAACATGGAGAAATCCCGTCTCTACTAAAAATACAAAATTAGCCAGGCATGGTGGCGCATGCCTGTAATCCCAGCTACTCTGGACGCTGAGGCAGGAGAATGGCTTGAACCAGGAGGCAGAGGTTGCTCTGAGCTGAGATCACGCCATTGCACCCCAGTCTGGGCAACAAGAGCGAAACTCTGCCTCAAAAAAAAAAAAAAAAAATAATAATAATAATTAGCCAGGCCTGGCAGCACACGCCTGTGGTCACAGCGACTCGGGAGGCTAAGGTGGGAGGATCACTTGAGCCCGAAAAGTCAAGGCTAGTGAGCCGTGATGGCACCACTGCAACCCAGCCTGGACGACACAGTGAGATTCTGTCTCCTACACACACACACACACACACACACACACACACACACACACACACGTGCGCATGCACACACACATTTATTTAATTTTATATATTTAAATTATATGTAAGATTAAAAGATGAATGCCAAGTTCAACAGAGATTTCTAGTTACAGGACTATAAACTGTCCTTCCCTTGTCTCAATATTTTTATAAATGATTTCATTTATTACAGGTTGCAAATGCCATCAACAGCTAAGCAACATATGTAAAAGTGTGAAGCCAAATTGTGTAACGCAATAAGGGGCAACAGTTGGTAAATCACACAGTACAAAACTTAACTAACTACAAGCATTCTAGTTTAAAAAAAAAAATGTGCTTGTCAAATAAAACACATCATGGGATAGATTTGGCTGTCAATTTATAACCTCTGATTTCAACACAGCCACCTAAGATTGACACAGACCTAGAAGAATGGCTTAAAATGAAACATTGAATAAAAATTTAAAGAACTTGGGCTGGTATGATAGACCAAACCTGCAATATGAAATTTAACAAAGGCCCTATGACTAAAATCAAAGTGTCAATGTATTATTGAGAATGAGAGAACAGAGGAACTCCAGATCAAACTTGACAGTAATACATCTGGAAATTAAAGAAGTGTAATTGAACAGAACTCAAAAAGAAAAAACACTGAGATGCAACCAATAAAAAACATCATGCAACATTAGGCTACAAAAGTATTGTGTTCAAATCAATGAAGATAATTCCACTCTACTTTGTATAGCTCATGCTGCATTGCAAGTAGTGATATCCCTTTATTGGCCACATATTTTATTCATAATATTAACACAGCAGAATACATCAAAGGAAGGCTAATGAAAGCATGTCTGCTATAGGCTGAACAATCTAATTTACTACACTATGAGAAATATGAAGGCACCAAAAAATGCTCTTGTTAAATTTACAAATGTTCTAATGTAAAATAAATAGCCACAGGGAATAACCCCGAGGGGACAGTGCCCATCCCTAGGAAACACCATATGTAGGGAAAACAGTAGTATTTTTGCAGTTCCAAAGTACGGTTTTGTTTGAAGCTTCTTGCACAACATAATTAAGAAGGCTAAAGATGCTAATATTTTGAGAAGACCAGGATTCAGCATTTCTAGCACTCGTAATTTTCTGAAACATCTCAGGTTTGCTATTTCCTTAATGTAATCTATCTCCTTTGGATTCTCAGACACAATGCTAGAATACTCACAAATTGTAAACTTTAAAAACTAAATAGGCCGGGCACAGTGGCTCACGCCAGCAGTCCCAGCACCTTGGGAGGCCGAAGTGGGTGGATCTCTTGAGCCCGGAAGTTTAACACCAGCCTGGGCAACATGGCGAAACCCTGTCTCTACCAAAAATACAAAAGTTAGCCAGGCGTGGTGGCATGCACCTGTAGTCCCAGCTACTCAGGAGGCTGAGGCATGAGAATCGCTTCAACCCAGGAGGCGGAGGTTGCAGTAGTCAAGACTGTGCCACTGCACTCCAGCCTAGGTGACAGAGCAAGACTGTCTCAAAAAAACAAAACAAAACAAAAAGAAATAAAAAAATAAAATAAAAATTTAAAAAACCTAAATAGAACACACAGTATCATTTGGGAGGCAGGAGCTGAAAACGCTGAGTCTGCTAACCTCAAATAACTGATACTAGGTTTCCAAAAAACTGGCAAAAGAGTCAATGCCAGAAGTCCTTTGAAAGGAATCTGCTATTATACAAAGTGGATCTACTTAGAAACTTCCAAAAAAATTACATAATGTATAATTTAGGGAGTATTTCTCTCTATGACTCAGTTTTCCTAGTTATTAATTTTATTAATAAACTATTCTCTAATCACTGATAACCATTTTTCTATGAACTCCACATTAAAACCACACACTGAGTAAGAAATTTAAGTGATAAAATTTTGATCACATGTAACAACAACTCAACAACAGCTGAGATAACTCCATCCTACCTTTGGAAAACACATTAGTATGATGTGTTATCTCCAGATAACTTCTGAGGTCAAGGAAATAAAATGACTTGAGGTTACATTTTTAATAGAATCATGATATAATTTTAAAAATCTGATGTAATGCAATACAACATATTAGAGATCCCCGCAATAAGACATCAAATGCAGCATCACAGTAACCCAGGATTCTCATCAGAATTGGACTGGGCATTCCAACTGGCAAAAATCTCCAAAATAGCTATCTTTTCTCTGATGGGTACGCCAGGCTGGCTAGAGATGAGAATATAGTACTAATAGTAAAGAGTGTGTGGATTAGGTAAGAGAATACCTTTTTGCTTGAGAGGCTGTGGGAAGGAAATGGGAAAGGGTAGGCACCTAGCATACAACGATTAAGGCAAATTTCATCCCTATCTCACACCTTAAAACAAAATAAACACCAAAATTACCAAAGGGTTTTTTTTTTTTTTTAGAAAAATAATAAATGTGCCAGAAGAAAACATGGGTATTTCTGCAAATCTTGGAAGACAAAAGAGCTAAGCCATGGAGAAAAATAATGCCAATTTGATTACACAGAACTGTAAAACATCTATACTACCTTAAGAAAAAAAACTCACACAAACCCAGTAAAAAAAAACCATGACAATTTGGCAAATAAACAAATAAATAAACTTCTGCTACACATGATAAAAGCCTGATTTGTTTTTCTTTAAAACACAAATAGTACTTGGAAGTCAACAAGAAAAAACCAGTATTCAAACAGAAAACATGGAAATATAGGCTGGGTACGGTGGCTCACGCTTGTAATCCCAGCACTTTGGGAGGCTGAGGCTGAGTTCAGGTGTTTGAGACCAGCTTGGCCAACATGATGAAACCCTGCCTCTACTGAAAATACAAAAATTAGCTGGATTTGGTGGCAGACACCTGTAATCTTAGCTACCCTGGAGGCTGAGGCAGGAGAATTGCTTGAACCCCGGAGGTGGAGGTTGCAGTGATCGAAATCATGCCGTTGCCCACCCCAACCCCTGCAAAACAAACAAACAAAAACAAGAAAGGAAATATGGAAATACGCATTAACAGATGGTCATAAAAATGGCCAACAAAACTGTAGAAAAATGCTCAGCCTCACTCATAATTAAAGAAATGTAATAAAGATAGCAATAAGCCACAATTTTTCATCTATCAAACTAGAAAAGAAAATTCAGTCTGAGAAAACTAAGTATTGAAATAGATCACCATCCAATATGAACTACAACAATTCTTGTGAAAGTCCAAACTCATGCAATCTATTGGGCAGGCAATGGGTTATTAATTCAGAAGTGAAGACATAGAGCCCCCCCAAATAGACTCAGCAATGACACTTTAGGGATTACATCTATGAAAACAATTCTGTGTGTGTACACGCTCGTGCATGCATAAAATTTGTGAAGAGCAAGAAATTAAAAACACATCTGCATGCCATTATCTTATAATGCCAGAAAACAAAAACATGCTTTAAAATAAAACAAAAAGCCCACATGATAGTATGTTAAAGAAGCACAGGAGCCGCCAAGCGCGGTGGCTCACGCCTGTAATCCCAGCACTTTGGGAGGCCGAGGTGGGTGGATCACCTGAGGTCAGGAGTTCGAGCCAAGCCTGGCCAACATGGTGAAACCCCGTCTCTTGTGAAAATAAAAAAATTAGCCAGGCATGGTGGCAGACGCCTGTAATCCCAGCTATTTGGGAGGCCAAGGCAGGAGAATCACTTGAGCCTGGGAGGCAGAGGTTGCAGTGAGCAGAGATCAAGCCACTGCACTCCAGCCTGATAGGCAGAGCGAGACTCCTTCTTAAAAATAATAACCATAATAATAAATAAAACAAAAAAACAAACAAGAAGCACAGGAGGTAGTTGACAGAACTCCCAGTGGCCAAACCTGGGACAATGTGGCCAATAAAATAAATATCCACAAATCCACACTGATAGAAATAAATGACTAAATAGATTAATACATGGGGGAAAAGAGACATGTCTCTTACGCAAAATAAATTGAAATAATTTGTGTAGCTACTCCACCATTAAGGAAAAGAAGTATAGGGGCATAATTCCCACCTTAGGTGTAGTCTCTGCATAGTGACTTCCTTCCAAGGAATAAAGTATGGAAAGAGTGGGGAAAAGAGTAATTTTACAGTCAAGAAAACTAAACACTACATCAGTCAGGTGTTGAAAGTCAGTTAACAGCACTCATAAAGCATGTCGACAGTATATGTCCTTGATATGATGTGATGAAAATGACACTTTACCTCTCTGTTGTCTTCTTGCCAAAAACGTGTAACCCCAGTTTTATCATTAAAAAAGCAGACAAACTCCAATAGTGAGGCATCCTACAAAACATCTGACCAGTACTCCAAAAAACTGTCGAGATCATCAAAACCAAGGAAAGTCTAAGAAACTGCCATGCAGGTAAGTAAGATAAGACCACTAACATCTCATTATGTTGTAATGAGGGATCCTCAATGTGGTATTCTTTCTTATACTTTGTAAATGTAATGTGGTATCTCAAATGGGATCATAAACAAAAGACCTTAGACAAAAACCAAGGACATCTGAATAAACTATAATAATTAACTAACTGTAACAAATGTACCATATTAATATCTTAACAATAGGGGAAACTTTGCAGGGTCTGTCCATATAGACATAAAAGCCCTATTACTGTATTGTTGGTAAAAAGGGAACATGTTCCAAAATACATATGTTATTACTAATTTACATATAATATATGTGCTCATACATGCATATAAGAAATTTATATCTGTTAAGAGTGGGATTAGGGAATTTAGGGATTAGGGTAAAAAATATTTCATTTTAATTTACTCCATTCTGTATTACTTCAATTTTTTATATAGTATGCATGTAATAACATTTTAGTTTTGCTGAAATATTAAAATAACATAAAAACAGATGACAACTGATATTCAAAAGAAACTCCTAGATTATTTTTGAGCAGATGATAATTACCACCTCATTTGCTGTCAGTAACATTTATACTTTATGAGGAGGTCCTGATAATTCAAACTCAAGAGCTTTATTATTACTTATATATTCACTTCCTAGGTCATACTCCATTGAAAATGTTAGCATTTCATCAGTCAAGTTTCATCCAGATAATCAATAAACCACTTTAATAAGACATCAACATAAAACTTTAAGGAAGATAGACCAAGCGAACTTAGATAGGTAATCACTTTATTTCACTGAATAAAATTCACTTCTATCAGTAATTTTCATAATATAGTAAGATAAAGAGAGAGGAAAAGAGGGGAGAATTGCATATTGTCAACCTGATCAAGGTACCATTTCTGTAATTTGGGGTTTTCATCTAATTGAAAAAGAACAACGACAACAAAATTATTTTTATACTAGGAGGCTGACCTTGACCTAATCATATATGAACCCACTTTTACTTTCCTAGCCTCATCTCCACTACAATCCCCACTACCCCAACTTTATATACCAGCAATTTCAAACTACTTGTATCTCCTCTACACACACTGTGCTATTAAACATCACCAAGTCTTTAAAATACTCTGTACTCCTTGGCATACATCAGTTCTACACTGTTTATCTAAATAGTTCCTATTAATTGGTATTAAAACCAATTCTTCACAGACTCTTTCAAAAAACAGAAGCAGAGGGAATACTTCTCAATGTCATTCTATGAAGCCAGTATTACCCAATACTAAAACCAAAGACATGACAAGGAAAACAAAAACAAAATAAAACTACTGATCGATATCCCTTATGAATATAGATGCAAAAACTCTTAACAAAGTACTGTTTAGCAACATATAAAAATGATTACACACTATGACCCAAGTGAGATTAATCTCAGAAATGTAAGGTAGGTTTAACATTCAAAAATCAACTTATATAAAACACCATTTTAATAAAAACAAAAACCACATAATCAATAGAGAAAAAGCACTTGCCAAAATCCAACACCCTTTCATAAAAATGCTTCAACAAGCTGGAAATAGAAGAGAACTTCCTCAACTGATAACACTATATCTATGAAAAACCCAAGACTAACATCACACTTGAAGATGAAAGACTGAATGCTTTGCCACTAAAATCAGGAGCAAGAACAAGAATGTCTGCATTTATCTCTTCTAGTAAGCATTTATCTGCATTTATCTCTTCTGTACTAGAGACTCTAGCCAGAACGGTGTCCAGAAGAAAAAAATAAAAGGCTTCAGGTTATATATATAAATAACATAAATATATATAAAAATATAAATATATATAAAAAATATATATATATATATATTTTTTTTTTGAGACAAAGTCTCGCTCTGTCACCCAGGCTGGAGTGCAGTGGTAGGATCTCAGCTCACTTCAACCTCTGCCTCCCAGGTTCAAGTGATTCTCCTGCCTCGGCCTCCTGAGTAGCTGGGATTACAGGCGCACACCACCATACCTGGCTAATTTTTGTATTTTTTAGTAGAGATGGGGTTTTGCCATGTTGGCCAGGCTGGTCTCGAACTCCTGACCTCAGGTGATCCACCTGCCTTGGCCTCCCAAAGTGCTGGGATTACAGGTGTGAGCCAATGCACCTAGCCTTGGGTATCGTATGTTGATTAAAAAAATCAAGTCATCAAGGAGCTATAACAATTATATACACAAATGCACCAATCAACACAGCCCCCAATACATGAAACAAAGACTAACAGAATAGAAGGGAGAAATGGGCAGCTGTACAATAGTTGGAGACTTCAATATACCACTCTCAATAATGAACAGAACATCAAGACAGATCAATAAGGAAACAGATAACTTGAACAACACTAAAAACCAACTGGACCCAACATACATATACAGAATACAGCCACCCCCAAATAGCAGAGAACACATTATTTTGCACCTGAGCATAGGTCTATGCAGGATAGACCATATATTAGGCCACAAAACAATGTTAATAAATTTTAAAAGACTGAAATCATATGAAATATCTTTTCTGACCACAATGAAATGAAACTAAAAATTAGTAATGAAGGGAAACCAGAAAATTCACAAATGTGTGGAAATTGAACAATTCACTGTAGACAACCAATGGTTTAAAGAAGATAACAGACAACACACTTGCTATAGTTTGGACTGTTTGTCCCCCTAAACCTCATGGTAAAACTTGATCCTCAGTGTTGGAGATGGGGTCTAATGGAAGGTATTTGGACCACAGAGGTGGATCCCTCATGAATGGAATTGTGCCTTCCTCTTGGTAATGAATGTGTTCTCATTCTATGAGTTCCCTCCCACTACAACTGGTTGGTAAAAAGAGCCTGACACCTCTCTGCTATCTGGCCACGTAACCACTGCATATGTTGGCTCCCCTTCACCTTCCACCACAAGTGGAGGCAGCCTGAGACTTTCACTTTCTAGCTAGCAGAATTGTGAGCCACATAAACCTCTTTCCTTTACAAATTACTTGGCCTCAGGTATTCCTTTATAGCAGCACTAAACTGACTAAGATAATACTCTTAAACAAGAAAAATTTTTACATAGTTAAGACATAATACCAAGACTTACGGGATGCAGCAAAGACAGTGCTCAGAAGGAAATTTACAGCTGTAAATGCTTACATTAAGAAAGAAGATCTCAAATCATTAATCTAACTCTACAACCGGAGAACTACAAAGAAGAAACTGAACCCAAAGCTAACAGAAGGAAGGAAATAAGAAATATATGAATAGAGATGAATAAAACAGAGAACAGAAAAAAAACAGAATCAACAAAACTAAAAGTTTTTTTTCTTTTCAATCAACAAAACTGACAAACCCTTAAAAGAGTTTAGATGTAGGGATAGACTGACAAATAAAAAGAAAAAGAATTAAAATCAGAAATGAAAGTGGGGCCATTACTACTAACCTCACAGAGACAAAAAGGATGAAAACAGCATACTACAAATAATCGTATGTTAACATATTAGACAACCTGGATGAAATGGGCAAATTCCTACAAATACACAGATTATCAAACTGACTCAAAATGAAACAGACGATCTTAACAAACATACACACAAGTAGAGATTTAATTAGTAATAAAGAAAAAAACCTCCCAACAAAGTAAAGTCCAGGACCTGATGATTTCAGTGGTAACTTCTGCCAGTTTACTAAAGAAGAAATTAACAATAATCTTTCTAAGACTCTTCTAAAAAAAATAGAAAAGGAAGGAGCACTTCTTACCTCATTCTACAAGGCAAGCATTACCCTATACCAAAGCCAGATAAACACATCACAAAAAAGAAAAATTACCAACCAATATCCCTTATAAATATAAACGCAAAAATCCTCATGAAAATACTAGAATATGAAATCTAATAGCATATTAAAAGGATTATACCCCATGACCAAGATTGGGGTATAATCCTTTATCTCAGGAATACAACAGTGGTTCAACATAAGAAAATCAATGTAATATATCATGTTAATAAAATGATGGAAAAAACCCCACACGATCATTTCAATTATCACCAAAAGGGCATCTGATAAACTCCAATTCCATTTCGTGATAAAACGGAAAATGTTTTAAAAATAACAGTGATAGCTGCATTATATCATATACGTAATTAATGCTCTTGAATTCTATACAATTATATATTGATATTCAGCAATGAATATCCCAAAAGTAAAATTAAGAAAATAATTCCTTTACAATAACACAATCTATAGAAATAGTTATTGTAATACCTATAATAAATCTTAATATACTTCAAAAAACAAAAGTTAATATCTGGGCTGAGCCTATTTTAGCTCTCAGTTTTCTACGACTATCTAGAAGGCTTTCAATAAATCTACATAGCCAACTTCACATTGTCTCAGGCACTGGGCTAAGCATTAAAGAAACAAAATTAATAAAATCTCACCATGCTGCTGAGAATTACACAACCTAGTAAAAAGATCTAGTTAAAAAAAAAATAATTAAAATACAAGAAAAATGTCATGAAAGAGGTATGTGCAAGATATTCCAAGGAGAGAGAAGCTTTTGGGGCTAAAAGGGGGGCTGGGGGGAGAGAAAATAGTGAGATATCAGATGGAGCTACTTTTGAGCAGAGACAATACAATGAAAAAGAACTCAACAAAAATAGAGCAGGGGTGGAGGGTAGGAAAGAAGCATTCCAGAAGGTATTTGCATTAACAGGGATAATACAACATATTCTGACAATTGCACATACTTTGGGCAAGGCTAGAACATAGATAGCCTGTGAGAAAGGAGAGATGAGTCAAGTAAGGTCACGATATAGATGTTCAAAGACCTTGTATGTCATGCTAAGAAATCTGGAATTTACCTTTTAGGTAACTGAAGAAGTGATACAATCAGAAGGATTGCCTGCTGCCATGTTATATTAGGGATGGTCACAACTCCCATCTCCAACATCTCCAATGCTAATTGATCATATAAAGCTTTTGGTAAACCCAGACAATAAATTCTTAAGACAATGACCCATATTGTCTCTTCTAATTGTTTAGAATAATCTATGATTTATCCCTGTTTTAAAATACTGTTTAGGCTAGGGGTGGGGAGGAAGTAAAGGTATGTACTAGAAGAAGAGAAATCACCAAGAGTTTAGATAAGAAATAATGTGGGCCTGAACTAAGGCAGCATTATCAGTGAAATAGAAAGAACAGATTCAAATAAGTCAACAAAAAGGTCTAGCATAACATCCAGGTTTCTTATTTTAATAATTGATATATAGCAAGGATAAGGGGAGTCGTAAATTCTAACATGCTAAATGTTGACGGCTCAGGCTTCCAGGTAGAGATTTCTGGTTGGTACTAAAATTTGAGGCTCTAGAGTTCATCAGGGAGACCTCAACTGAAGATAAACATTAGAGAGTCACTGAAGTCACAAGGATTGAGAATATGGCCCAGGATAAGTATGAAAGTAAAGAAAAATGGAGAATAAAACCCTAGGGAACACCAAGAACTAATGGTTAGAGGTAATGAAAGAAAAACTAATACATGATACTATAAACATTTTACTTACATGGCCACAATTTTCACAGTAACAAAAGTGTGTGTGTGTGTTTGTGTGTGTGTGTGTGTGTGTGTATACACATGGTGTATATAACACAAGTATATATATAAAAATATATATAAAACACAAGTATATATATTATACATACATATATTACCCTCATTTTAGCGATAAGGAGAAAAATTAAGCAATTTGCTTGAGGACACATAGCCAGTCCTCATGGCCAGACACATGAACAGCAGAGTCACCATTCATACTCAAATTGATTCTTTATACTATACTGCTTCAAAATTAAGAAGGAACTGTTCTTGGCCTTTTCTTTCTTTCTTTCATCCCTTAATATAACCATATGCACACATACCTGCTCTCGAAAAAGTTAAAACTGAATTAGAAATGAGTACATATACATACATACATACAAGTTTTAGAAACCTCTGATAAAAGTTCTTTATTAAAAGAAAAACATATACTGAAATTAAGAGTGGTGGTATTAGGGAAGGTTAATGGAATCCAGAGCTAGACTGTGGGGGCTCAAATCTCATCAAAACATTTCTAATAAATATTTATAAATATTTACATAGCTTGCTATAATTATATCTCCTTGGCTCTTGGGTGAATGGCTTGATGGTTCTGTTTTATCTTTTGGGGGTCAGAGATTTCTTTGAAAACCTAATAAAACACCCAAGCTAGCTCCCTCGAAAAAATGCACAATCTTTATTTTAGAAGAGTCACATACTTCCTGCAAACTAGAAATTTAAAATACTGGTTTAAATCACTCTATGGGCAGGTCACGTCACTTAACTTCTCTCCATCTCCTCTTCATAGAACCGTTGTGAAGATTAAATGAGTAAATATAAGTAATGTGTTTAGATTAATGCCTGGCATATAGTATCTCATACCTTTTAGCTATTATTATCAATACCACTACTTCTAGTACTGCAACTATTACTACTAATTTTTTTTTTTTTTTTTTGAGATGGAGCTTCGCTCTTGTTGCCCAAGCTGGAGTGCAATGGCTCGATCTCGGCTCACTGCAACCTCTGCCTCCTGGGTTCAAGCGATTCTCCTGCCTCAGCCTCCTGAGTAGCTGGGATTACAGGCACTTGCCATCACACCTGGCTAATTTTTTTTATTTTTAGTAGAAATGGGGTTTCACCATGTTAGCCAGGCTGGTCTCAAATTCCTGACCCCAGGAGATTCACCCGCCTCGGCCTCTCAAAAGTGCTGGGATTACAGGCGTAAACCACCTTGACTGGCGTAATACTACTATTAATATTATAATCTCCCCTTGTTTGATAATTTACTAAGATATTTTTTAATGTTCTATTTCTAGCACACTGCTTCTGGAGGAATGTACGTCCTATGCTAAACACTATAGCATACTATACAGACTCTGGAGTCAGACTACTTGGAGCTGACGCCCAACATTGCCATTTAGTAGTTGTATGGTAACTTACTTAACGGCTGTTGTATCAGTTTCTTCTATAAAATAGTGCTTCTATAAAACTCATTCTTTAATTGGTTGCTATGAGGTTTAAGTGAGTTATAAAATATGTAAACAGCTCAGGACAATGTTTGACATATAAAAAGCGCAATATATATTTGCTATTAATAAACACAATAATAGGTAAAATAGTAAATTAATGTTTATTAAGTGTTAATTTATATGCCAGGTACTATAATGAGCACGTGATAACCTTATTACATTTGTTCCTTACAAAACCCCTACTGTGCAGATGGCGGGGAGGAGGCTTATAAAAGTAAATATCTTGCCCAGAGTCATACTACTATCAAGTGGCAGAAATGGAATGCAAACTCAAATATTTCTAGCTACAAAGCCAGTGCTCTTTACTTTTCAGAATGAATCCTTGGCATATATGTCACCCCTACCCTTTCCTCTCCAGAGCTAGTGGTAGACCAGCAAAATTAAGCACAGCATTCTGCTCCCTGATCCCAGATGCAGTGGTACAATCCTCCCCTTCTGGATACAGGCCCCCATTACTATCAATAGAACAAAGGTGGCATGAGAAATAAAATCAACTGTCATCTTTGTTATTTGAACAGTCTCTCACAAAGTAGAAGGCAGAGGTTTTTCGCTTTATTATTAAAGTAATCTATGAACCACAAGGAAAAAAACTTTTAAATGAAAAGTTACTTAGAGAAGTTTTTCTTACAGAAAACTATTAATTGATTGAAATAAAATTTAAGGATCTTGTGAAGACATAACACAGTTTTTATTTTTATTTTTTATTTTTTGAGACGGAGTTTCACTGTTGTTGCCCAGGCTGGAGTACAATGGGGCAATCTCGGCTCACTGCAACCTCCTCCTCCTGGGTTCAAGCGATTCTCCTGCCTCAGCCTCTCGAGTAGCTGGGATTACAGGCACCCACCACCACACCCAGATAATTTTTTGTATTTTTAGTAGAGATGGGGTTTCACTACGTTGGCCAAGCTGGTCTCGATTCAACCGCCACGGCCTCCCAAAATGCTGGGATTACAGGCGTGAGCCACCACACCCAGCTCATAACATGGTTTTTATCATATGATCTTCAGAGTCCTAGAGTTCTTTGGGGTAAGCTATAACTCAGAAAAGGCAAAATCATCTGATCCCACACCTTAGCTTCAACTAGGGCAACTCTGCTTTTCATATGTTCTATCAGAGGTCTTCAGAAAATTTCATTGGGGATGTAGAAAGTTTCTACTGCCAAATATTAAAAAAAGAGAAAGACTATTCTGTAAGATACTTGCAACTCACAAAACTATAAGCCCAGGGTTTCAAAACACTCAAATATCTCATTTTTCTCTAATGGGAAGGTAAGAGAGGAGGTACTACTTACTCTAAACTAAATCATAGTTAGTTACTACTGGGTAACATAGAGTATACGAATTGACTACATGATGCTCTAGTTACTACAGCAAACATTAATAATTCCAACCAGAAAACTAAGGCTAATTAGTACACATCTCTAATCTCTGTCCTAACTTAATTCCTCTTTCTTCTAGTTACATTGGCTACCCCTTTCCCCTGTTACAGGATAAAAGCTGATTATCCACTATCCCTAAAGAAAGTCTTTAAAATGCAAAAGGCAGAATACAATAAAAAGAAGGTTACCAAAATAGACATATCATTCAGTCAAACTGTGGTCAATGAAATGTAAAACATGCCTGTTATTACAGAAATCCTACTTTAATTCTCCCAGAGCTGCAAAAGTACTTACAGACAGAAATTATGACAAGGCCACAGGGTAGCTTAGCTACAATTCTAAAATTAAAAATAACAATGTGGGAATAGATAAAATATTATATAGTATAACAATGGAATATTAGATAACCAAAATGCCTATACATATTATGAGGCAAGAGAAAAAAATCTTTATGAGATCATAAATAATTATGCATATACCTATATAAACATGTACGTATGGAATAAGATACACAGAACTGAAGTCAAAGGTCAGGACAGTAGTAGTGAATAATTTAGTTGTTTTCCTTAACATTTTCCAAAAAGGGAGTAATAGAGGCCCAGAGAGAAGAGACACTAAGAGAGACAACGAAGAAGATTTAAGACAGATGAGAACCCATATACAGATTTAGAAGCAATCAGAAAGAGAGTGGGATGGGTAAAATCCCATTGAAAGACAGGTATAGAAACCCAGAGAAAGAGGTTGATGGAGACCCATAAAAAGGAAATAAGAGAGGGAGAGAGACAGAGAGAAAAAGGGTGTGGGGGAGAAGAGAGAGACAAGAAAGAAAGAGACAGAGAAAAGAGAAAGAGTTATATGGAGGGAAAAGAAATCCAAAAAGGGGGTGACACAGACCAAGAGAGGGGGGACAAAAGCCCAGAGACAGAAAGATAGAGACTTGGAGCCTACAGTGAAAGGTTGAGGAATCCAGAAAGGTGAAGACTAAAGACAAAGGCGAAAAAAGGGCTAGAGAAAGAGACTGATAGAAAAAAAAGAGGGAAAGAAAGTCAGAGATGTTATAGAGAATGAGAGAATTTTTTTAAATTCCCAAATGCATTTTAAGTCATCTATTCTAGAACCTAACCAAGCCTTTAATCTCTCTAATCCTGAAACAATGAGTTATTCTTTCTCATCTTCACAATGTCCTCAACTAATCTCCCTAATTGCCTCCTCAAACTTCCTGTAGGCTCATGTTCTTATCACTGATCTCCCTCCCATAACATTCTCTCAAAAACCTCAAAAAGAAAATTTCTAATAACCTCAATCTCTTCATGGAGGGTTTCTTTTTACTGTCTTACCCTAGAGAAAACCTGGATCTCACCTAAACGTCAAAAGAAACCTCAAAAAGAAAACTGAAACCTCAAGAAGAAAATTTCTAATGACCTCAATTTCTTCATGCAGGGTTCTTTTTACCGTTTTGCTCTAGAGAAAACCTGAATCTCACCTAAAGGCACTGGTTTCCTTGCAGTTCTTTCAAATGAAGACTGGTCACCTCCTGACAAATTCTAGAAAAAGAAGGCAATAAATATTGCCAAACCGCTGATTTTTCACTGTCCTGGCCTCAAACAGCACTCCATGTCTCCTCCCCACCAAGCTCCACATGGCTACACGCCCTCTTTATCCTACTTTGTCAATGTCACTTCTCCACCTAGAGCCACCACCACCATCTACGAAGTCACACATCTATCCATCTACTGGGAATCTCTACTTGCATGTGTCATAAGCATCTCAAATGATTAATTTATTATTTCCTCCTCCAAAACTCTTCTCATATATAATATACATAAGCAATACATAATGCTTCTGCTAGAAAAATGCCTACCAAATATAGGACTGCCACATTCCAAGATAAATCATCTTCAAGGATTTGCAAGAATTTCACAGACATTTAGGTTCCTTTCTAAACAGCAGTGGATACTCTCAGTAACCTATTCCAAGAAAGTCAGAACTGAAAATAACTAACCTGAGCACTCAACCCTAGAAAAGAATCCATCTTCTCCTATGGGAAGAAATAGTTTACTACTTGATCTCCTGAAGGATATCTTAGTCCTGCCAGAACAATTCAGAAGTGGAGATCATGAATGGGGCAAAAAGAAATTCTCTCTTTGGTGGCTGGGAGATTACGGGAAGTCTTGAACCTATGTATTTCTGCACATCTTAGAAAAATTTCCTTTATTGACAAAGAAGGACCATTATTTTCAGCAATATATCACAACTTTTCTTCTCTTCTTCCTTTTTGTTTTTAATGAAGCTATCCCAAAATTAGGAGGTATCTTTTTTTAAAAAAATTTTTGGAAAATTTACAAAGCTCAAGAGAAAGTTCTGACATAAAGAAAATATTAGGTCTATTACTTTTTATAATAGAGGTTAATCTCTGTTAATGACTTCTAATTGCTCTTTATCTGTAAGAACCTTTAAGATAAGTAAGAAACTGAGAACAGCAGCAGAGAGGAAATTATCCTCTGGGGCATACAGATAAGAGGCAGTCAGTTGTCACCCCCAATGCAGGATTAAGTCAGGGCAAGAGCTGACTATGACAGGAGCTTTCCACCAAACCAAAACCAGACAAGTAAGCCATCAGATGCCTTGCATTCAAACGGTTTGATAGTCTTTCTTTTCTGCTCTTCAACTTCTTAAGAGTTAAATGAGTTAATATTTATAAAGCATTAAAACAGTGCCTAGCATATAAGGAATGCTATATACATTAAAGTAAGTAATCAAAGAGAAAATGTTTAAGAACTCTGGGAGGAGGCCTTTTTTCAAATGAATCTATTGTAATCCAGCAGTTTATGGAACAAATAATTCTTACCCAGGAGTATCATGATGTATCTAGTAACAACAACAACAACAACAAAATGAAGATGCAAAATTTCATTACAAAGAGTGTACTTGTGAACCTAACAGAGGCTGTACAATTTTACTTAGGAAGAGACAGGAAAAAGCAAACACATGCCAAAACAGATCAGAATAAAGATAATAACAGGCCATTTGGTAGGTTTTAAAAAGCTCTAATACTTATGAGGGTTCACAATCCCTAGTAAACCAGAGGTATCATTTAAACTGAAAAAAAAAAAAAGCAACTGAAAAGCAAGTGTCAATAAAGGGCCAATTTGCTAACTATAGTTGTTAAAACGTATTGTGTAATACATGTGTATATACACAACAATTATATGACTGTAGGTATTTATATCAAAATTCGGGCTTAATACATTGACATCTTCCTATATAATAGGCACTGTAATGTAAAAAGACTTTCTATGGAAATAATCTAAATAAAGTTTAATAGAAAATGTTGTCAGGCAATATTTGCTGTAAAAAAAAAGCTTAATAGAAAATGGCTAAAAACTGTTATACTAAAAAACAGTTACATAAAGTAACAAGAACACTGAGCTAGGAATCAAGTATTATGGATCTAAGAACATTAGATATTATATGCATGAAATCTGAAGTCCAAAATACCAACTGAAGTTATCCAAAGTCATATTTATTTAGCCAAAAGAATCAAGTGATTTGTTACCTGCCCTGCGTATGCACTCCAAACCAGTGAAAAGAAAGAAAGGATAGCGACAGGCAGAAAAATAAAGACACCAAGGAAAAACAGAAGAAATTTATTTTCTTTGCTCCAACTTCATTGATTATTGTGTCTTCTGAAGAGAAAGAGGTTGGAAGGAGTTATTAACAGCACAAAGTCTTCTTTATCCTTTGGTTTCGCAGAATTCAATGTGGTCAGACATAGGGATCACTTAAAGTAAGCTCTGCAATATTACATCTTTTCCAACTTTTTCACTGGCCAAGGATGGCTCAACTTGCTTCCAAATGTTTAACTCTCATTCTGTTCCTATCAGTCCTCTTGCTACCTCTTTACCTCTTATCAACTTCACTTAACAAAATGACTTAATTTTCCTCCCTGCAATAAATAGGTAAACTATCAGAGGGCTGCGTAAGCACATAAGGAACATAGATGTCTTTAAAAAAAAAAAAAGTATATAGATTTTCTTGAGAAGTGAAGACATACTTTAACAAAGAAGAAAATTCTTAAAAGTGCATTCCCTTTATCTTACTAATGCTTTCCTGATATAACTAATGATATCAATGACCATACCTTGGGCTGAGTATTGCTGGGGCAAGTGTTTCGGAATTTTTCCATTCCATTAGCAAAACTGTCTATGAGCGGTGGGGAGATTAATTTCTAGAAAAATAACAAATTTATCACAATATTCAGTACACACTTTGTGTCAAACCTACCTTCTCACCACTGGAGTAGAAGAAATAACGCAATCGGACTATGTTACAGTGATCTAGCTTTCTCATGATCTGGAGCTCTCGATTCTGAAAAGGAAACACATAAAAATATATTTTTAAAGGATAACAGCTATTCATCATATTGAACAAGATGCTTCTGAAATAACATTAAGCACTAAAATTAGCAAGCTATAGATATGCTACTAAAAAGTGTGATCTGTAGACTGGTTCTGATCTGCAAAATATTTGTTACTAGTCCATGAACTATCTGTTACTGCTCTCCAATAAGACAAATACAGAAATTGAGAGTGTTTAGAGCTTTTATAACAATGAGAGAATAAATTGATATCTAAGAATATGGTAATAAGAATTAGGATCCATATTTTATATTTTTAAAAATTTCATCTTTCTAGCAATTCATTTGTATATTTCACAAAAACAACAGTCTCCCATGAATTCAAAACTGTAAGAACTGTTACTTTACCACAAATAGCTTGACCTTATTGTTTTCTAAGATGCAGTGAAAAAAAAAACTGAGCATCAACTCCATGAAAAGAGCTCAGTTGCTAAGTTTTAGAAAAAGTGAATGCAGAGCGAAACTCCATCTCAAAAAAAAAAAAAAAGAAAGAAAAGAAAAGAAATTATACAGTCCTGATAGATTTGTAGACCACACAAAACTATTTTCCCTTTGGGAAGTTTCAAAGTTATGTTCATTCTTCAAAAAAAGAAATCACTAAATAATATGATGATTTCTTAATACCACAGACTTCGCAGCAGTAAATCTGACTAGACTGTACATTAACAAAGAGGTTATTATAGTCCAACAATATACTTGACTGACAGAAATCCACTTAATGAAGGACAAATTACATAACACACAGAAGCAATACCAAAATGCCAGCTTTCTAGCCAAAAAAATAAAGCTTTAGTTAAAGTAATGATTTAGAAGAGCTAGAAAACATAAAGTATACACCTGAGAATCTGGAAAGGAAATGGTGTTACGGTCAGAAAAGAGGCCAAGAAGGATGGGGATGAGGATGCGTTGGGACCAAAGAACCAGATAAAGATAGCTATCCTAGAATAGGAAGGGTAGGATGGCTTCTAGTTCTTAGAAGATGAGAGCAGAAGTGAATGTTCCTTTAAACTGACCTTTCGGAGTTGGGCTTATGTGTACAATGGTATTTAAAATCCTTTTATAAGATATCAATCTTTCATTCCATTACTTGTTAGTAAAAGTAACGGAAACAGAAAGTCCGAAAGTAAACAGAAAATAAGTCAGAAAGTACAGTACAATTACTTTAACAAATAACTAACAAAAGACTCTTAAGTGTTGACTAGTACAGAGAGAGGAACATAGAAAACTACCAACTTCAAAATTGTGTCCATTTCCATTCCAAATTGAAGCTATTTCTGGAAGTATTTCTATACTTTGTTTTTTTGTTTGTTTGTTTGAGACAGAGTTTCACTCTTGTTACCCAGGCTGGAGTGCAATGGCGTGATCTCGGCTCATTGCAACCTTTGCCTCCTGGGTTCAAGCGATTCTCCTGCCTCAGCCTCCTGAGTAGCTGGGATTACAGGCGCCTGCCACCACGCCCAGCTAATTATTTTAATATTTTTAGTAGAGACAGGGTTTCACCATGTTGGCCAGGCTGGTCTCGAACTCCTGACCTCAGACAATCCACCTGCCTCAGCCTCCCAAAGTGCTGGGATTACAGGCGTGAGCCACAGCGCCCAGCCTCTATACTTTGTTAATTCACATTTAGGTAGCTGGCTTTGAGGGAGAACTGCTAGTAAATCAATACTCATTCCTCTCATAACATACAGCTATTAAGACTGATTTTTTTAACATAGCCAACTATGTTAAAATAAGTTATTTATTTTTCCAGACTCACTAACCAAGGTAACAGAGTATTAAATTCCCAGATAACAGAAGTTGATAAGATTGTGCATAATACTTTTGATCAAAAAGAATGCATAAGTGAAGCAAGAACAAGGATCTAAGTATTCATCTACATTTACTCTTCCTATTGTGTTGCTTTAAAAATGTCTTATTTTAGATAAGGAAGTTAGAGAAAATCTCATGAAACAGGTAAGATATGAACACAAGCCTGAATGATATGAAGGTAAGAACCATGTGAAGATCTGAGGAAACAGCACTGTGGTTATAGGGAACTGCAAATGTAAAAACCTAGTAGTGGTGGGCTTGGCATATTCAAGAAATAGCCAGAAAGATAATACGGCTGCATCATTCTGAGTAAGGAGAGAAAGGTGGGAGTTAAGTTCAGAGAGGTAGGAGTTATGTTCAGAGAGGCAGGCAGGCACAAGATCATATAAACCTTCATCAAACATGGTAAGAAACTGAATTTCACTCTAAATGTAAAGGGAAGCTAATGGAGGTTTTGACCAGGAAAGTGATACAATCAGATTTACCTTTCAGAAAAGCATTCTATCATTTGAACCCAGGAGGTGGAGGCTGCAGTGAGCTGTGATCACGCCACAGCACTGGGCAACAGAGCAAGACTCCGTCTCAAAAAAAAAAAAAAAAAAAAAGCATTCTAAAAATTTAAGAGAATAAATTTGAAGGAAAAAGTAGATCAAGAGTTTCGTTTTTTATCTATTAAGTTTTTTTTAACCTATTAAGTTTTTATCTATTAAGTTTGAAATCCTTATACGACATTCATGTGAGGTCAGGGTAGAAGCTAAGGCTGGAAAAATGCATTTGGGAGTCATCTAGATAAAGAAGATTTAAAGCAAGGGTACCTAATGATATCACCTACGGAAGAAGTTCATACAGAAAAAAAATTCATGAAATGAAAAATAGAGGACAGAGTGGAGTAGTTAATAAAGCAGGAAGAAAAATAAGAAAGAATGTTATCTTAGAAGCCACGTTAAAAAATTTTTAGAAAAACTGAGTGATGATTTATGTCAAAAGCTACTGAAAGATGCATTAAGTGAAGCAAGTATAAGGACCTAAATATTCATCTATGTTTACTCTTCTGTTCCTATTGCGTTACTTTAGAAATATCTACATTTTACATAAGGAAGCCGGAGAAAACCTTATGAAGGAGGTTAAGATATGAACATCAACCTGGATGATATAAAGGTAAGAACCATGTGAAGATCTAGGGAAGATGGTTACAGGGAACTGCAAATGTAAAAACTCAGTGGTGGGCTTGGCATATTCAAGAAATAGGCAGAAGGATAATGGCTAGATAAACACAGGAAAATAACAATTGCTATGAAAATGCAAGATGTTGGTGACTCTTACAAGAATGGTTTCAGTAGAACAATGGTGAAAAAAACTGACTAGATTGAATTAAAGTGGGTGTAGGGGACACAGGGTCCTAAGGGGTTAGAAAGTTTGAGGAGAGATTTCCAGGTACAGCAGAATGATGACAGTAGCAAATCTACTCCCCCACAATACTTATAAAACTGAAGTACACTGAAGAAAACAATCACTTCAGGGCTCTGGAAACTGAGCAAAGGCAACAACAAATTGAGAAGCATTTATTCTTGAAAAGCTGCTAGATATGACAGAACAGTAGAGGAAAATGGCCTTCTTTGCCAAGCGATGCTACCATCCCCCTACAACCACCCAACTCAATCAGTGAGGCAGTTTTCCCAGGGCAGTGTTGGCAGTGAAAACCAGAGGGCTATGGTCATTTAGGATAGAGAGCAAAAACCCATGCCTAGTAGCACTGGCAATAAAAATAGCAAATTTGGAAGGACAGAAAGGGGAAAGGCCCATAGCTCTGCTAAAATGAGAATGTAGTCCCAGTTAGAGAAAATGACAGACTAGAAGGACACCCAGAAATGTAATAAGGGGATACTGGAAATGAGAGAGGCACAGAGGGCCTAAATTAGCTCCCCACACATAACTGTCTGACAGGCAGTGCACATATGGGGGTGGAGGGAGGCTCAACAGAGCCCCGGAGAAAGTAAAAGCCAAGGCTAATGTGAAAAATGTCAGAATTTTGAATATACTTCCCAACTCACATATAGGATCATCAAAAAATGCTGAAAGTGGCAGGGTGCAGTGGCTCACGCCTGTAATCCCACCACTTTGGGAGGTTCAGGCGGGCAGATCACCTGAGGACAGGAGTTCAAGACCAGCCTGACCAGCATGGTGAAACCCAGTCTCTACTAAAAATATAAAATTAGCCGGGCTTGGTGGCGCATGCCTGTAATCCCAGATACTCGGGAGGCTGAAGCAGGAGAACTGCTTGAACCCAGGAGGTGGAGCCTGCAGTAAGCTGAGATCATGCCAGTGCACTCCAGCCTAGAAAACAAGCCAGAATCTGTCTCAAAAAAATTCAGAACCTAGCATTGCTACAATATATTATATAATATGTTCAATTGGAAAAAAACATTGTGAGACATGCAAACTACAGGAAAAGTTGACCTATAATCAGGTTAAAAAAAAGCAGTCAACAGAAATTAACTCCTGGTGGGCAAAGCTGTTGGATTTAGCAGATAAAGAATACAAAGCAGCTATTATAATTTATAATTAAGTTCAAAAAATTAAGGGAAACCATATTTTAAAAATTAAAGAAAAATGACAATTGCACAACACAGAGAATCTCAATAAAGAAATGCTAACTTTTAAAACATGAGAATTAACTAGAGTTGAAACACATTATAACAAAAATGAGATTCACTATGTCCTCAAGAAAATATTTGAGATGGCATTAAAAAAAAAAACCCAGTGAACTTGAAGAAATAGAGATTGTCCAAAAGAAAGAACAAAGAGGGAAAAAATACTGCAGAAAAATAAACAGAGCCTCAGATACTTCTGGGATAACATCACACATATCAACATATGTGTAAAAGCAGAACTGGAAAAAGAGAAAGGAGAAAAAAATGTTAGAAGAAATAATGGCTGAACATTCCCCAAATTTGCTGAAAACCACTAATCTATCAAACCATGAAGATCAATGAACCGGCCAGGCACGGTGGCTCACGTCTATAATCCCAGCACTTTGGGAGGCCGAGGCGGGTGGATTACCTGAGGTCAGGAGTTCAAGACCAGCCTGGCCAACATGGTGAAACCCCATCTCTACTAAAAATACAAAAATTAGCCGGGTGTGGTGGCACACCCCTGTAATCCCAGCGACTCGGGAGGCGGAGGCAGGAGAATTGCTTGAGCCCGGGAGGCAGAGGTTGCAGTGAGTCGAGATCGTGCCACTGCACTCCAGCCTGGCTGACAGAGAGAGACTCTGTCTCAAAAAAAAAAAAAAAAGAAAAGAAAGAAAAGAAAAAAAAATTATCAATGAACCCAAAATATGATAAACACAGGGATCAACATCTAAGCATTTCACATTTAAACAGTTTGAAGCCACCAAAAAAAAAAACATGAGAGGAGCAACAGAGAAATCACTCATCACATACATGGGAAAAACAATACAATTAATAGCCGACTAATCATCAGGAAAAAACGGAAGCTAGAAGGCAGTAACAAAAAATTAAAAAAAACTATCAACTAAGAATTCTATTTACTGCAAAAGTATTCTTCAAGCAAGAAAGGAAGAATAAAGACATCCTCACACTTAAAAAAAAAGATGGAGAATAAGTTGAAATACTTGAACAAGTACCTTGAGCTAAAAGAAAATGACACCACATGTTAACTGGAATTCACAAAAACAAGTGAGGACCACCAGATATATTAAATATAAATGAGAAAATATAAAAGACTATAGATATATTTTTATTTCCTCTTAATTTCATTAAAAGACAGAATATGATAACAGTTGGGTTTATAACGTAAATAAATGTAATATATAAGGCAATAACAGCAAAAAGGAGGGGGAGAAAACAGTTATAATGGAGCACAAGTGCTATATTTTACAGAAATTAGGTCAGTATTAACCTAAAGTTAATGGTGATAAATTGGAATGTAAACTGTAATTCTTAGAGCAACCACTAAGAAAATAATTTAATGTTAAAAATCAACAGCAGACTTAAGACGATACACTAAAAAATATTTGTTCAACACAGAAGATAGTAACGAAGAACGGAAGAACAAATATAACATGAGAGATATAGAAAACAAAGAGCAAAATGGCACATGTAATTCCAGCTACATCACACACTACATAAAATGTGAAAGAGCTAAGCATACAATCAAAAGGCTATATAAAAAGAAAGCTGCAACTATAATCTATCCCTAGGAATTAATACTTTAGATTCAAAGACACAAACAACTTAAAAGTAAAAGGATGAAAAATGATATACAATACAAACAGTAACCAAGAGAGATGGAGCGGCACATGTTGGCAGAGACAGACAGAGAGAGAGACCCACTGCCTACAAGATAAAGTCTAAATCACTTTATAATCTGGCCTCTCCTTTTCAGTTTAGTCTTCCACTCATGACCAATGTGAATTCTATATTATCGCTAGATGCTACTTCTCACTCTTCCTGAATATATTGTTTCATTCCCAATTCTAAACCAATTATATTCCCAATTCTATTACATTTACCATCACATTACCATCAGTGGAATGTGCTGACTCTCTCTCCAACCTACACACATTCTAAGCCCATCCTTTAAGTTCCTATTTAACTTTTACCTTTTTAACGAGGCCATCACCAATCTCTCCCTGCAGCACTTACAAATATTTTGAAATTTACTATATGTTCTCTTGGTTTTATTTTTACAACTACAGTTCATTGATGTTATATAAAAGGATACTTTTCAAAAGTAGCTTATAGAAATCAGATATTATAGTCACTATACAGACACAGACACAGACACACACTCACAAACCCTGCCCAACCAACATACTATAAGTGTTTTAAGAACATCTTTCTGTATTACTCTCAGAGTTCTCAGAGCAGGTTACTTTGTCTTTAACAAAGTAATTTCCCAGCTTCTGTAATTTCTTCTACTTTCCAACTTGGTGTTATTTTCCAAACTATGGGCACCAGCCAATCAGCACTGAGAAGGAAGTGTGGAAGGAGAATAGAATAGAATAGAATAGAATAGAATAGAATAGAATAGAATAGAATAGAATAGAATAGAATAGAATAGAATAGAATAGAAAAGAAACAGAACAGAACAGAACAGCATAGCATAAAATAGAATGGAGGAATAAGAATAGAATAGAATGGAATAGAATATCACTTTACATACAGTAAGGGTTTTTTTCATGAAACTTGTTAATTATTTTTCTGTGCATCGGGCTGCAATGTTAAAATGCATGTCTTACTTTAAGGTCATAGTTAGAAATTTTAAATTGTGGTAACTGACTTGCCTGTAAAGGCATCTTTTTTCAAATAGAAAAGACAAAAGAATACATGTAAACAAGATTCTTACTAATCATTCTCAACTTATTTATAAAACAAAATGACTACCCAAGATGGAATAAGCATAATATCAGTATTTAAAAAGTCTAAATGGCACATTTAAAGGAAAACTGATTCTTTTGTTTTAACCAATACTCATTAACATATATCCACCTCTAGAGTAGACATGGAGGCTTTTATTCATTTTTACAATATCTGACATCTCATGCTTTAAAAAGAGAGAGAAAAGAGAAAGAAAAACTTCTGGAAGCTAAAAGCACAGACTGAAAAAGTTCCAGAAGGCTATATTTTTGTACCATTACATAAAGTTTAATAAAGGAAAAGTAAACTTTTAGGTGAAGAAACAACCAGCAAGCTTAATATTGTGGGTGTATGATGGGCAGCATGTGGTTATCATCTTTTCTTCTTCATCAAAGTTTGTTCTGTTGGGAGATCTTCCCCCATGATAGAAAGTTCTACTTTCATAAAATCTAGTAAAATAGGACTCATTTCCAATGTTTTGCTTAAAGAATATTTTCCCAAAGTACACCTTCTGCAAAAAAAATGAAGGTTATCCAAAGTTGCATTATCCATCCTTAGTCATCATAAGACTCAAAAAGCATTTAATTCATCTCTAAATCTTTGATTTCACAGTAAATTCAGTTGCCCTAAAAGAACCAACAGCTAAAAAAAAAAAAAAACACAAAAAAACTTAACCCCATTTGCACAAGTATATTTTTAATTGATACATGATATTTTACTATTTATGAGGTACATGGATATTTTGTTCCATGCATAGAACATGTAATGATCATATTTTGAAGCCAACTATGTGTCAGAACTGGGGGCCCTGAGAATACAAAAATTTACAATCTTTAAATGTTTTACAGTCTAATGGGTGAGCAAACCAACAACTATAACACAATGTGATTAAGTTGAGCTCATTTAAAAAGTGCTATAGATACTTGGGGACAGGAGCTAAGAAAAATTTGCTTATTAATTTGTAAAATTCTGGAATGGGGTCAGGTGGAAAGTCTTAAATACAGCGCTAAATATTACAAGGCATAAAGAACCACTGATTGGTTTTTTTTGCTTTTGTTTTTGTTGTTGTTGTTGTTGTTTTGAGACAGAGTCTCACTCTGTCACCCAAGCTGGAGTGCAGTGGCATGATCTCAAATCACTGCAACCTCCGCCTCCTGGGTTCAAGCGATTCTCCTGCCTCACCCTCCTGAATAGCTGAGATTACAGGCGCCTGCCACCACGCCTGCCTAATTTTGTATTTTTAGTAGAGATGGGTTTTCACCATGTTGGCCAGGCTGGTCTCGAACTCCTGACCTCTGGTGATCCGCCTACCTCGGCCTCCCAAAGTGCTGGGATTACAGGTGTGAGCCACCTCACCCAGCCCACTAATGTGTTTTACACAAGATATTTGTTTTAGGAAGATTGCTATGAAAAAAAATGTTACAAAGGTGGCGGCGGATAAAACTAGGATCTACACTAGTAAAAACAGAGAAAAACAAATGGAAGAAAATGGGTCTACAATAGTAGTGATCACCTACTGCTATTGAATTAGTAAATAGAAGGAGGGAGGTGACAGCTATCAGGCTTCTCACTCACATGACTATGAACACGGTACAGTTCAGTGGCCGGGGAAGCTGTTTTGGAAGCAGAAAGAAGTGAGTTCAATTTGGGACACATTCATTTTGAAACGACTCAGGGACACTGAAGCAGATGAAAAGGTCCAGAAAGCAATACCGTATGTTCTTCTTATCCTCAAGGAGGTGTGGGTGGTTCAGAAGCCATAGGAGAGTATATATTATTGCCTATACAGGTTGAATACACATTATCCGAAATGCTTGGGACCAAAAGTGTTTCAGACTTCAGACTTTTTTTGGATTTAGTATTATCTTTACCCATTAAGCCTTCCTAATCTGAAAATCCAAAATTCAAAATGCTCCAATGAGCACTCCCTTTAAACATCGTGTTGGTGCTCAAAAAGTTTTAAATTTCAGAGCATTTCAAATTTTGGATTTTTGGTTTCAAGATGCTCAACCTATAAAATAAGAAAAAAAGTGATCAAACTCCCCAGCAGCAGAAAGTCTATAAAGGACACTAAAAAGAAATTAGTCAGAAAGTAGAACCTAGACAGTGGAGTAACGTAAGCCTTAGGAAAGGTGAGCTATTCAAGAAAAGATTCTGGAGAATATCATCATTTAAGCAGACAGAAGAAAAGGAATCAATACAAGAGACAGAGTGAGAAAAGCTCTAAGAGATGAGCCACAAAAATAATACCCTTGAACAGGGGCAAATAAACATTTTCTATAAAGGACCAGACACTAAATTCTTCAGGTTTATTCAACTCTGTAGTTGTAGGGGAAAAGCAGTCAGACAATATTTATAAGAATGAATGTGGCTGTCTGTTTACAACAATATGTGTAAGAATTAACGTGGCTGTTTGTTATAAATTTTATTTACAAACACAGGTGGCTGGTTCACTGTTTCCCAATCCCTGCACCACAAGGCAAGAAAGGAAAGTTCCTTACCGTCAATCTCAATTTTGTACTTAGTACATATACATAGTGGACTTTCTATATTGATTTAGGGACTAATGTTCTGGAAATTTATGATATTTTCCTTTTACATAACTATAATTAGTGTGTAAGTTAAAATTTTAAATTATAGTTATAAAATAACATACTGCCTAGGTAGGCTTAACATGTTCTGTAACAAAACCCCAATTTTATAGAAACAATAAAAAGGACTCATGTATGCTACTTTTCCCAATCAGTTACACAGACTACTTGCCCAGCACAGAAAGGGAAATGGAAGAGAAACAACACAAAGGATGCCTGCATGAACTAAGGGAATAACGGACTTTTATATCCTGACAGGTAATATGACTACTAAAGTAGATATAAACCAGGTTCTTGAATACTTAGTTTTCGGAAGCCCTAGCATGTAAGTCAATGCCAGCTTAAGTGTGTATTCCTTTAACCCTGTATCTTTGAGAGCCAATAACACAACAGCATATTATTATTAACAATAGCAATGATGGCACCAACAACTACAGAACACAAAGAATTTACTATGAGCTGACCACTCTGTTAAGAGCTGTATCTTCACAACTTCAATCCTCTCCACAAACCTATCAAGTAAGCAACATTATGATCCCCACTTAAGAGCGGGTGTAGGCATAGAGAGGTTAAGAAATTTGGTAGCAAACAGCACAGGCAAGATTTAAACCAGGTGTGTCAGATTCCATGCTCTATCACAATGAAATGTAACTCAATTCCATTTATTACTATGTGCTTGAAAATACAATGACAATAAAGGAGGACTTCAGTATTGAAAGAGCTTATAATTCAAAATAAGACAAGTATACAAGTAGGCAAATAAAGATACTGATACGGTTTGGCTCCACGTCCCCACCCAAATCTCATCTCGAACTGTAATCCCCACGTGCTGAGGCGAGGACCTATACCCCCCCAAGTGTCAAGGGAGGGAAGTGACTGGGAGAGATGGTTTCCCCCATGCTGCTCTCCTAATAGTGAGTGAATTCTCACAAGATTTGATGGTTTTATAAATGTTAGTTTCTCCTGCACGATGACTCTCTCTCCCACCACCTTGTGAAGAAGGTGCCTGCTTTCTTTCCCTTTCGCCATGACTGTAAATTTCCTAAGGCCTCCCCAGCCATGTGGAACTGTGAACCAATTAAACATCTTTCCTTTATAAATTACCCCGTCTCAAGGAGTATCCTTACAGCAGTGTGAGAATGGACTAACACAGATGCCATACAACAGAAAATGTTAAGTGCCACTAGAGTTATCGAAAAAGGGGTGGGTGGGTGGGTGGGTGTGGCAGCTCATGCCTGTAATCCCAGCACTTTGGGAGGCTAAGGAAGGAGGATCACTTGGGCCCAGGAGTTCAAGACCAGCCTGACAACACAGGGAGATTGCATCTCTACAAAAAATAAAAATAAATTAGCTGGGCATGGTGATGCACACCTGTGTTCCTAGCTACTCGGGAGACTGAGGTGGGAGGATCACTTTAACCAGGGAGGTCAAGGCTACAGTGCGCTATGATTGTGACATTGCACTTCAGCCTGGGTAACAGGGTGAGACCCTGTCTCTCCCTCGACCCTGGAAGAAAAAAAAAGGATGGAGAATTCTAAAAACAGAAAGAATACTTCCAACTAGGAAGATTAAAAAGATTTTTAATGAAAAGAGTGTTCACTTTTTTCATGAAAAGAGTGTTCACTTTTTTCATGAAAAGAGTGTTAAGTTGGAGCTTAACAGGTAGAATTCAACTTGTCTCTTAGACCATTTGCTTTCTGAATACAGAAACTAAAACTCGAAAATTCTCCTTACTCAGGAGAAACTAGAAACGGGGGCATCAGCCTATATATCCCCTGGAATACAACACAACTAAAACCTCTGGTTACTGTGCAGAATATGCCTTTGTGCTACAACTAAGGTTTACACAAAAATGATTGGTTGACTCCCTCTCTCCTTGAAATGTTTTCTCCAATTACTTTCCAGGACACTAAATTATCTTGCTTTTTAATCCTTCCTCATTGGCCAAATTTGCAGTTTTCTTTGCTAGTTCTTCATAATCTCCCTATTTTTTAAACACTGAAGTAGCCAGAACTTAGTCTCTCACCTCTTTCAGCTGCCTCTATCACCTCTTCCAGTCTCAGGGCTTTAAAGGCTGATCAGACTCCCAATTGTATATCTCTAGACCAGACCACCCCTGTGAATTCCAAAATCTTTTAACCAACTGCTTATGTGACAATTTTTCTGTGTCTAATATACATCAACTTGACATGTTATAAGTAAAATTTTTCATCTCCTTTAAACATGCTCTACCCATAGCTTTCCCCATGTCAGCTGTTGGCAATTCCACTCCTCTAGTTGCCCAGGTCAAAAACCATGAAGTCTTGATTCCTCTTTCTCTCTGACTTTTTTTTTTTTTTTTTTTTTTTTTAAAGACAGAGCCTCACTCTGTCGCCCAGGCTGGAGTGCAGTGGCATGATCTCAGCTCACTGCAACCTCTGTCTCCCAGGTTCAAGTGATTCTCCTGCCTCAGCCTCCTGAGTAGCTGGGATTACACGCGTGTACCACCATGCCCAGCTAATTTTTTTGTATTTTTAGTAGAGATGGGGTTTCACCATGTTGGCCAGGCTGGTCTTGAACTCGTGACCTCAAATGATCCTCCAACCTCAGCCTCCCTAAGTGCTATTATTAGCAATAACAATTATTGTTCCCAAAGTGCTAGGATTACAGGCATGAGACACTGCGCCCGGCTTGACCTCACATTAATCTGTCAAGAAATCCTGTTGGCTCAACCTTCAAAACTTACCCAGGATCCCAGCAATTGCACTCTTGGGCATATGTTTTATAGAAATAGAAATTTACGTTCACATTAAAACCGGCATATGAATGTTCAAAGCAGCTTTATTTAGAATAGCCCCCAGATGTCACTCACTGGGTGAATAAACAAACTGTAGTATATCCATACCATGGAATACTACTCAGCAATAAAAAAGAAACAATTATTGATCCATGCAACAACATGGTTGCATCCCCAGAAACCTATGCTGAGACAAAAAAAAAAAAAAAAAAAAAAAGCTAGCCCAAAAGGTTACATACTGGATATGATTCCATTTTTATAACCTTCTTGAAAGAAAAAAAGTTTGGAAATGGTAAACAGATTAGTGGTTACTGCCAGGGGTTACACTGGGTGTTAGGGGTGGAGTAATGGCAGGGAGAGAAGTCAATGTGGTTATAAAAGGGCAGTAAGAGGATACTTGTGATGTTCTGTATCTTTACTATCATGGTCTATACACAAACCTATGCATGTAATAAAAAAAAAATAGAAAGAAATATATACACATACAGCTCTCCAAAGTAGTACAAGAGAATCTGAGGAAATTTGAATAAAATCAGTGGATTCTATCAATGCCAATATCCTAATTGTGATAATGTACTATAATTTTGCAAGATGTAATCATTGAGGGAAAGTGGGTAAAGAGTTTTACCCATGTGGGATTTCTCTACTTTGCTTTACAACTGCATAAATATCTGAATATCAGCCCCCCTCACATACTTCAGGTATTTCCTCAAATGCTACATACTTTCTCACACTATTTAAAATTGCAACCTCAACATTTACTCTCAGCAATCCTTAAACCCCTTCATTACCTCAATCTTCTCCAGAGTAACAATCATCTAATACATTATATCTATTTTGCATATTTATTCATTATTGTCCATCCCTCCCCACTATAATATAAGCTTTAAAATGACATAGTTTTGTTGTCTGTTTTGTTTATTGTTGTATGTCTAGAATCTAGAACAATGCCCAGCCCATATCAACTCAATAATCTATGGTCGAACATGTATTTACACTGATGATATAAAATAACACCCCTACTGACAAAAAGAGATACGTTAATACATATCAATACATTTCATTGTAAGAAGTGTCACTACCAGTCAGAAAAATAAAGGAGTTAGAAAAACAAGTTATTCCCAAGTCACGAGCCCCCACCCCTCAAAACACATGTAAAGGACTACTTCCCATTCCTGAGAATAGAGCTGTGATGTACCACTCTCTCTAATCCCTCTCCAGCTAATCTCTCCAAAGGTTAAAAACTGATCAAGAGCCCTATCCTCACAGGGCCAGGCTTGAAAATACCATTCTTCAGCCAAGCTCTGGCTCACCAAAGATTGTGTATATATAACAACAGCACTAATCTCTTCCTCATTGTTGGTGCATTAAAAGTGATGAGAAAAACAGGCTGGGCGCAGTGGCTCACACCTGTAATCCCAGCACTTTGGGAGGCCAAGGCAGGCAGATCACTTAAGGCCAGGAGTTCAAGACCAGCCTGGCCAACATGGTGAAACTCCGTCTCTACTAAAAATACAAAAATTAGCCAGGGGTGGTGGCACACACCTATAGTCCCAGTTACTCGGGAGGCTGAGGCACAAGAATCGCTTGAACCCAAAAGGCAGAAGTTGCAGTGAGCTGAGATTGGGCCACTGCACTCAGCCTGGGTGACAGAGCAAGACTCTGTCTCACAAACAAAAAAAAAAAAAAAAAAGGAAAAAGCACTTGACAAAATTCACCCCCCTTTCATTACAAAAACCATCAACAAATCAGATATAGAAGGAACTTACCTCAACAAAATAAAAGTTATAAAATCAGTCACTGACTTGATGGTTCACCTCAAAAATTTTCAACCTTACAATGGTGTTTTCAGCTGTGTACATTAATGATGAGTACCCATATAGTATTCAATAAATTACATGAGATATTCAACACTTTATTATAGAATAGGCTATGCGATACATGACTTTGTCCACCTGCAGGCCAACATAGGTGTTCTGAGCACGTTTAAGGTAAGCTAGGCTAAGCTATAATGTACTACAGATGAGGTGCATTAAATGTATTTTTGACTTAATGACATTTTTAACTTACAATGAGTTTATCTGGATGTAACTTCATTTTAGGTCATGGAGCATGTGTATATGAAAAGCCCATAACTGCTGGGCATGGTGGCCCACCCCTGTAATCTCAGCACTTTGGGAGGCTGAGGCAGGTGGATCACCTGAGGTCGGGAGTTCGAGACCAGCCTGACCAACATGGAGAAACCCTGTCTCTAGTAAAAATACAAAATTAGCCAAGCGTGGTGGTGCATACCTGTAATCCCAGCTACTCAGGAGGCTGAGGCAGGAGAATCGCTTGAACCTGGGAGGCAGAGGTTGCAATGAGCCAAGATTGTGCCATTGCACTCCAGCCTGGGCAACAAGAGTGAAACTCTGTCTCAAAAAAAAAAAAAAACAAAAACAAAAAAACAAAAAAAGCCTATAACTAACACATCATACACAACAGTGAAAAACAGAAAACTTTTCCTCTAAGATTATGAACAATTAGGCAAGAATGCCCACTCTTGCCATCTATTCAACATAGTACTGTAAGTCCTAGCCAGAGTAATTAGGCAAGAAAAAGAAATAAAAGGCATCTAAATTGGAAAAAAAAAAGAAAATTATTTGTTTGCATATGAAATAGGTAGAAAATCCTAGACCATGCACACACACAAAACTGTTAGAATAAATTCAGTCAAGTTGCAGGACACAAAATCAACATTTAAAAAATCGGTTGCAATTCTATATACCAGCAGTCCTCAACCTTTTTGGCACAAGGGACCAGTTCCATAGAAGACTATTTTTCCACGGACCGGTGAGGGGCTGGTGGGAAGGTTTCAGGATGAAACTGTTCTACCTCATAAGGAGTGTGCAACCTAAATCCCTCGCATGCGGATGTCACAATAGGGTTCATGTTCCTATGGGAATCTAATGCTGCTGCTGATCTGACAGGAGGTGGAGCTCAGGCAGTAATGCTCACTGGCCTGGTGCTCATCTGTTGCTGTGTGGCCTGGTTCCTAACAGGCCATGCACCACACTGGTCCGCAGCCTGAGGGTTGGGGGCCCCTGTTATACACCAACAACAAACTATCCAAAAAAAAGTTTAAGAAAGCAATCACATTTACAACAGCAACAAACAGAATACTTAGGAATTAACTTAACCAAGGAGGTGAAAGACTTGTACACTAAAAATTATAAAACGCTAATGAAAGAAATTAAGGCAGATACAAATAGATGGAAAAACATCCTGTGTTCATGGATTAAATTAATATTGTTAAAATGTCCATATTATCCAAAGCCATCTATAGATTCAGCACAACCCCTATCAAAATCCTAAAGACATTTTTTACATAATTTATTTTAATCTTAAAATTTACATAGAATCACAAAAGACCTCAAATATTCAAAGCAATTTTGAGCAAGTATGACAATGTTGGAGGCATCACACTCCTCATTTCAAAATATTTTATAAAACTACAGTAATCAAAACAGTATGATACAAGCATATAAAAACAGACATATGAATCCCAGCTACTTGGAAGGCTGAGGTGGGAGATCGCCTGAACCTGGGAGGCAGAGATTGCAGTGAGCTGAAATTATGCCACGGCACTCCAGCCTAGGCAACAGAGTAGAGACTGTCTTCTTCCCCACAAAAAAAAAAAAAAAAAAAGAAAGAAAAAAAGAAAAAAGAAAGAAAAAGAAAAAAAACACATGGACAAATGGAACAGAGCAGAAAATCCAGAAATAAAGTCAATGGATCTTCAACAAAGGTGCCAATAATTTACAATGCAGAAAGGACAGTTTTTTCAATAAATGGTGTTGGAAAACCTGGATACCCATATCCAAAAGAATGAAATTGGAACCTTATCTTACACCATACACAAAAATTAACTTAAAATGGATTAAAGATTTAAACATAAGATCTGAAAACGTAGAACCCTTTGAAGAAATCATCAGAGAAAACCTTCTTGACACTGTTCTTGTCAATAATTTCTTGGATAACAGGCAACAAAAGCCAAAAATAGACAAGTGGGACTATATCAAACTAAAAAGCTTCTACACAGCAAAAGAAACCATCAACAGAGTAAGAAGGCAGCCTATGGAATGGAAGAAAATATTTGCAAACCAAATGTCTGACAAGGAGTTAATTTCAGAAAATATAACAAACTCCTATAACTCAACAGCAAAAAATGAGATGAATAAAAAATAAGCAAAGGACTGGAATAGACAAAGAAGACATACATACGACCAACAGGCATATGCAAAAAGACCATATGATCCAACAATCCCACTTCTGGGTAAACATCCAAAAGAATTGCAATTAGGGTCTCAAAAAGATACCTGCACTCCCATATTCATTGCAGCATTATTCACAATAGCAAAGATGGGAAAACCCAGATGAATTGATAAGAAAAATGTGGTATATACATACAATAGAATAAATATTACAAGTTTTTTTAATAAGAAGGAAATCTTACCACTTGTGACAACACAGATGAACCTGGAAAATACGCTATGCTAAGCAAAATAAGTTAGTCACAGAAGGAGAAATACTGCATTATTTTTCATAACAAGGAATCAAACCTATATAAGTAGACAATAGAATGGTGGTTACTAGGAGACAGGGGAGGAAGATATGGAGAGTTGTTGTTCAACGGTATAAAGTTAGTTATACAAGATAAGTAAGTTACAGAGATATGCTTTCCAACATAGGGCCTATAATTAACAAGGTGAACTTTTGAAAATTTGCTAAGAGGGTAAATGTCATGTCAAATATTCTTACCTACCCTCTCAAAAAAATGAAAAACAGTAAGAAAGGGGCATAATGAAACTTTTGGAGGCAATAGATATATGTTTATTATCTTGGCTGTGGTGATGGTAAGATGAGCACACATATTTGTCCAAATGCATTAAATTGCACACATTAATTATATGCAGTTTTTAAATATACCAATTATATCTCAATAAAGCTAGGGAAGGCCGATCTAAAAGCTCATTTTTAACACAGCAAACAAATCAAAAGCAAAATAATTGAATTATAGGTTTTTGTAATATTATGTTTTCTTTTTTTTTTTTTTTTTTTAATTTTTTTTTGAGACAGAAAGTCTTGCTCTGTTGCCCAGGCTGGAGTGCAGTGGTGTGACCTCAGCTCACTGCAACCTCCACCTCCTGGGTTTAAGTGATTCTCCTGCCTCAGCCTCCCAAGTAGCTGGGCTTACAGGCACCTGCCACCAAGTCCGACTAATTTTTGTATTTTTTTTTTTTTTTTAGTAGAGACGGGGTTTCACCATGTTGGCCAGGCTGGTCTTGAACTCCTGACCTCAAATGATCCACCTGCCTCAGCCTCCCGAAGTGCTGAGACTACAGGTGTTAGCCACCGTGCCCAGCCATTTTTTTTTTTTATTTTTATAGAGACAAGGTCTCTATAAAAGAGACTAGGTTGCCCAGGCTAGTCTTGAACTCCTGAGCTCAAGCAATCCTCCCGCTTTGGCCTCCCAAAGTGCTGGGACTACAGGCATCAGCCACCATGCCCAGCCTATGCTTTATTTTTCTGATGACACTAAAAAAGAATACTTAATCAAATTATAACAATCTTAAAGAGAGACAAAATAATTTAATATTTTGAATTCTTTGATTTTTGTACCAATTCTGGTCCAAATTCATCGAAAACACTTTCCATCTACCTAGGAAATAAGAAACCCTAGTACTGGTAGATTGTGAAGATTCAAGTGAAAATGTTTTAATATTCTCTTCAGATCAATTTTCATTCATTTATTGTGTTCAAAGGACTGAAAATCTGTACCTCACACAGAGTGTCTGCCAAAAATAATTTAAAAAAATTTTAAAGGCATTACCAAGAGTTGGGTAGTAACATGGTCAGTGCCTAGATAAACACTCTCCTCAATAAAGCCCTAGAAATTCAGTTTGGTTGTTATCTATCATAAACAGTTACTATGTTTATAAATCTTGTAGGTTCTCTAAGATTTCATGTGAGCACAATTTTCCGGGGAATCTACAGGAAGATAGTCTATCATATAAATCATGAACTCCCACAGCTGGCACCAAACTAGACAATTCACTTAACACTTCACATAGACTATAAACTCCTTGATTGCACAGACTGTTCATATGTCTCCTTGTAACCTACACAACATCCAATGTAGTCCTTTGCACACAGTATATACAACCTGAGTTGGCCAGCCTTAGTTCACACTTGATCTTGTAATGCAAAAACTCAGTGGAGGTTTTTTAACAGAAAGGTGAGGTGAAGTAGCTTATTCAGATAAATCTTGATAGATTATCCCAAGCTAAGAAAGGAAAATTCTAATTTGAAGAGAAAGGAACCCTAATATTTGAATATTTCTTTACAGATTAAAGAAGCTATTTATGTGAGCACTCTCACTTAAGTATGAAAAAACTTAAAATGATTATTAAATATTTCATCCTACATCTTACCAAGAAGAAACAAATTTAGAGAGGTAAAATGACTTCTCCAATTTCTTAAAGGGCTCTCTATTCAGTAACTTGGGAGGATTAGGAAAATAAGAAACCCTAGTACTGATGGAAAAGAGGCACAGGCAAGTACAAGTACCTTCAGGTATTATAATCGCCAACCACATTAAGGAATCAGAGAGACTGGCTGGGGGTTAACAACAAAGTCCTTTTCCAATAATTTACAGAAAAATAGAAATTAAACCCTAGAGTTCAGGAATAGCTATTACTTCACCACCATTCCCTATCTAGATAGATTTTTTATCTCAGGGTGATCTTTATAAAATGTAACCTATCTTAATATTAAAATAAACTCAGGACAGAGTTTAACATTACATACTGAAAAGATGTCAAAATAATGAAGTACTAGCAAAGAACACACTGCAAAAGAACTTAAGAGGAAAAAAAATCCAAATATAATAACATCAAAAAGAACATTCAGGAATAAATTTAACAAATGAATGTAAGACTTATACATTGAAAACTCTAAAATCTCATAGAAAGATATAAATAAAGACAATCTATAATCATGGATTGGAAGACTTAATAATGTTAAGATGGCAATATTCCCAAAATTGATCTACAGATCCACTACAATCCTGTTGAAATTACAGCTACCTTTTTTTTTTTTAGACGGAGTCTTGCTCTGTTGCCCAGGCTGGAGTGCAGTGGCCTGAACTCAGCTCACTGCAACCTCCACCTCCCGGGTTCAAGCGATTCTCCTGCCTCAGCCTCTGAGTAGCTGGGACTACAGGCGTGTGCCACCATGCCTGGCTAATTTCTGTATTTTTAGTAGAGACGGAGTTTCACTATGTTGGCCAGGCTGGTCTCAAACTCCTGATCTCATGATATGTCCGCCTCGGCCTCCCAAGGTGCTGGGATTACCGGCGTGAGCCACTGCGCCTGGCCAGCTATCTTTTTTTTAAAAAAAAGATATTGATAAGATAATCCTAAAATTCATATGGAAATTTGTGTGCACTCAGATAGTCAAAATAATCTTGTAAAGAAGAAGTTGGAGGACTCATATTTCATATCTTTTTACAAAGACAAAGTAATCAAGACAGTGTGGTACTGGCATAAGGACATATGTTATCAATCAATGAAAGAGAATTCAGAGTCCAAAAATGTTTATAGCCAACAGATTTTGACAAGGTTGTCAACACAATTCTATAACAAAAGAATAGATTTTTCAACAAATGAAGCTTTGGACAACTGGATATTCAGCTGTAAAGGACTGAAGCTGTACCACTTCTTTTCTTTTCCTTTCTCCCGTCCCGTCCCCTCCCCTCCCCTCCTTTTCTTTTCTTTCTCTTTCTTTTCTCTCTCTCTCTCTCCCTCTCTCCCTCCCTCCCTTTCTCTCTTTCTCTTTCTCTCTCTCTCTCTCTCTCTCTCTCTCTCTCCTTTCTTTCTTGAAAGAGTCTCGCTCTCACCCAGGCTGGAGTGCAGTGGCACAATCTCCACTCACTAGAACCTCTGCCTCCCGGATTCAAGCAATTCTCCTGCCTCAGCCTCCTGAGTAGCTGGGATTACAGGCACGTGCCACCACACCCGGCTAATTTTTTGTATTTTTAGTAGGGACGGGGTTTCACCGTGTTAGCCAGGATGGTCTCCATCTCTTGACCCTGTGATCCTCCCACCTGGGCCTCCCAAAGTGCTGGATTACAGGCGTGAGCCACCACGTCCAGCCCATTTTTTATTTTTTAATGTTTCATAAAGATAGGGGCTCCCTATGTTGCCCAGGGTGGTCTCAAACTCCTGGCATCAAGTGATCCACCTGCCTTGGCCAAAGTGCTGGGATTACAAGTGTGAGCCACCACACCCAGCCTGGACCACTTCTTTACATCACACAAAGAAATTAACCCAAAACTGGACAAAAACATTATAAAAAAGGAAAACTACTGACCAATCTCTTACAAACACAGATTCAAAAATTTGCAACAAAACATTAGCAAACTGATCCAACAATGTATAAAAATACTTATACATCACGAGCAAGTGACATTTATTCCAGGTATGCAAGACTGGTTTAACATTTGTCAATTAATGTAATCCATCACATCAACAAGCTAAGGAAGAAAAACAAACTGATCATATATATAGATGCTGAAAAAGCATTTGGTAAAATTCAAATTTACTTCTTCAGCTTGATAAAGTACAATAAAAAACTCTACAGCTAACATCACATTTAATGGTGAGAAAATAGATGCTACAAAGCAAAATTGTGTAAGATGCAATATGCCAAAAAAAAATAAGGGATGTGAATAGCAAGTATACAGATTGGTACAGAAAAAATAAAACTGTCTTTGCTCGCCAATAACATTACTGCCTGTGAAGAAAACCTCAAGGAATCAACCACAAATAAACAGTTAGAACTAATAAGCAATTATAGTAAAGTTGCAGGATACAAAATTAATGTACAAAAGTCAACTGTATTCTCATATATCAGGAACAATTGGCATTAAAATTAAAACATAATAAGCACCCGCAAAAATGAAATGCTTAGGTATAAATCTAACAAAATATGTACAAGATCTATATCATGAGGCCGGGAGTGATGGCTCATGCCTGTAATCCCAGCACTTGGGGAGGCGGAGGTGGGTGGATCACCTGAGGTCAGGAGTTCAAGACAAACCTGGCCAACACCGTGAAACCCCGTTTCTACTAAAAATACAAAAATTAGCCAGGTGTGGTGGCACACGCCTGTAATCCCAGCTACTTGGGAGACTGAGCCAGGAGAATTGCTTGAACCCAGGAGGCGGAGGTTACAGTGAGCCGAGATTGCGCCAACGTACTCCAGCCTGGGTGACAAAGCAAGACTCCATCTCAAAAAAAAAAAAAAATCTATATGATGAAAACTATAAAACTGTTACCAAAAAAGTCAAGGAAGGTCTAAATAAATGGAAACTTACATCATGTACATGGATAAGAACACTCAATATTAAGATGCCAGTTCTTCCCAACTTGATCTGCAAATTCAATGCAGTATCAATCAGAATCCCAGCAAGTTACATTGCAGATATCAACAAACTGATTCTAAAATTTATATGGAAAGGCAAAAGATTCAGAATAGTCATCACAGTATTGAACAACAGTCAGCCGAATGACAGTACCTGACTTCAAGGCTTTCTATAAAGCTACAGGAATAAAGACAGCATGGTACTGGTGAAAGAAGAGATTACTGGAACAGTAACAGATGGCCCAGAACTAGCAAACAAATATGGTCAACTAAACTTTCACAAAGGAACAAAGCAATTTCAATGGAGAAAGGATAGTCTTTTCAACAAGTAGAGTAGTCTAAACATTTATCCACGGTTTCATTTTCCGTGGATACATTTTCCACAATTTCAGTTAACCACAGTCCAAAAATAATAAATGGAAAATTCCAGGAATAATGAATGAATTTTAAATTGCCATCGTTCTGAGTAGCGTGGTGAAATCTCATGCCATCCCAGTCCCTCCTACCAGGTCATGAATCATCCCTTTGTCTAGCTTGTCCATACTGAACATGTTACCTGCCCATTCATCACATAGCAGCCCTCTCACAGTTAGCAGATCAACTGCAGGGGTTCCAGTAACCCTTGTGTTACTTATCATAATGGTGCCAAAGCACAAGAGTAGTGACACTGTCATATTATTGTTGTTAATCTCTTACTGTGTTGATTTATAAACTTTACTATAGGTATGTATGTATACAAAAATGCAGTATATACAGGTTTTAGTGCCATCTGCAGTTTCTGGAATTCACTGGGAGTCTTGGAATGTATCCTTCTCAGATAAGGGGCGGGGGAAACAATTCAATCTTTTAAAATGGGTAAAAGATTTGAAGAGAAACTTCACCAAAGACAATATACGGATGGCAAATAAATGCGAAAAGATATTCAACACTATTAGTCATTTTAAAAATGCAAATTAAAACTACAATGAAATACCACTATACACCTATTAGAATAGCTAAAATTAAAGAGACTGACTAAACCAAGCCTTGGGATACCCTGCTGGTGAGAATAAAAAACAAAAACGATCAGCCGGGCGCGGTGGCTCACGCCTGTAATCCCAACACTTTGAGAGGCCAAGGCCGGTGGATCACAAGGTCAGGAGTTTGAGACCAGCCTGGCCAACACAGTGAAACCCCGTCTCTACTAAAATTAAAAAAAAAAAAAAAAAAAAAAAATTAGCCGGGCATGGTGGCAGATGCCTGTAATCCCAGCTACTCAGGAGGCTGAGGCAGGAGAATCGCTTGAATCTGGGAGGTAGAGGTTGCAGTGAGCTGAGATCGCGCCACTGCACTCCAGCCCGGGCGACAGTGTGAGACTCCGTTTCAAAAAAACAAACAAACAAACAAAAAAAACAAAAAATAAAAAACAAAAACAATCATCACTTACTGTTCTGGAGCATCATGAAAACTATTTCTGTAAATACTCTGATAGGCTATATTCTTTTTTGTTGTCTAAATGAAAATATCACTTCACTGTTTTGTAGACTTTTCTTAAACAATTAGAATATCTCCCACATTAAGAAGCATATTTTTAAAATAACTGCATAGATTCCACTGTATGATTATATTCTTTTCAGAATAATATCATTAAGGTAAAAGTTTCCATGATATACTGACTTCTCAAAGTTTAATCATTAACTTTCTTATATAAATGACAAATGTCTCCAAAATTCCCCAAATGGATTGAAGTTGAAGCAATCTAGGAAGTTTTGGACCTCAGAATGCTGTAGGTTTTACTTATAGTTTCTCCCCATCCCCATCCAAATTTTAAAACATAAATTTCAAGTATGGGAAGACCAACTTCAGTCAAGATTCAATTTCTGGATTAAAACATCACAAAACTAGAATTTTTAAAAGAAACCAACCATTTTGTAGAATTTTTAAATTTTAAATGTATTAAAACTCCTACAGGTACAGTTTCATTTATACCATAAACATTTACTTATGCTCTAGTAATAATTTGATCATTGCTTTTGACTGGAAGAGTTTTAGGGCAGAATTAGTAAAAGCCCCACAGCTTGCTAACAGAATTTCATTATAGCTTCCATAGTTTTAGTAACTGGCCTTATATATTTGGGTATACATCTCTTCCTAAAAAGTCTGATATAAAACATATTGATACTTAAACTATTTGCAATAATTTTTTTTTTTTTTTTTTTTTTTTTTTTGAGACGGAGTCTCGCTCTGTCGCCCAGGCTGGAGTGCAGTGGCGGGATCTCGGCTCACTGCAAGCTCCGCCTCCCGGGTTCACGCCATTCTCCTGCCTCAGCCTCCCAAGTAGCTGGGACTACAGGCGCCCGCCACTACGCCCGGCTAATTTTTTGTATTTTTAGTAGAGACAGGGTTTCACCGTTTTAGCCGGGATGGTCTCGATCTCCTGACCTCGTGATCCGCCCGCCTCGGCCTCCCAAAGTGCTGGGATTACAGGCGTGAGCCACCGCGCCCGGCCTGCAATAAAATTTTTATAAGGCAATTAAAGTTCCCTAATTTCTTTAAAAATTAAACTTATTTTCTTAACTAAGTTCCCTAATTTCTTCCTAGCCTCCAGAACTGTAAGAAATAAAGGAGATGACCCTCCTTCTGGCTTATGGTCAAGTCACTTAGTAGTCTAAGACTACTTTTATAAAACAACTTTACTAAATGTTTAGTTCTCTTAGCAATAATTAACCAATTTAGGTGTCTATATAGATAGCTGTTATACAGGTAAGAGCTAATAACATTTTACCTCTAACAGAAACTTTATGTAAGAAATTTCAAGGTACAACACAATGAGATTCAAATAAGGTATAAGATAGGCATCATAATAAATGAGATTCAAATAAGGTATATGATAGGCATCATAAGAAATCAAGATGGGCTTCATTTCTTATGATTCCTATCCACAGAAAAAGATTTAGAAGGACCTACAAATTCTATAATGAAAAACAGAATTAAGGGGAGGGGAAAAAAGATAATTTTTATCTATTTTGTTTGTTTGTTTGTTTGTTTTTTTGAGACGGAGTCTCGCTCTGTAGTCCAGCCTGGGGTACAGTGGTGCGATCTCGGCTCACTGCAAGCTTCGCCTCCCAGGTTCACGCCACCCTCCTGCCTCAGCCTCCCGAGTAGCTGGGACTACAGGTGCCTGTCACGAAGCCCAGCTAATTTTTTGTATTTTTAGTAGAGATGGGGTTTCACCAAGTTAGCCGGGATGTTCTCGATCTCCTGACCTCGTGATCCACCTGCCTCGGCCTCCCAAAGCGCTGGAATTACAGGTGTGAGCCACCGCGCCCACCTATTTTTTTCTTTTTACTGTTCTGTGATATGGATTTTTTAAGCAATTATACCTTTTTGCAATTGTAGGACCTATGAAAAACTAGAAGCTTTCAATTGTTTTGTACCATAATATTTTGTTATTAAAAAACAATAACAAAAAACAGTTCTATAGAAGTTAAAAGAGCCACGTTTGTTACAATTGTTTGTCTAAATAATAGTTTTCCTAGGCTTCCAATTTGACTGATGCTTGTCTGTGGTATAATTTAGAAAAAGATCAGTGGATGCCTGGCTCCTCAGAATTCTACACTTTCCAATATTGAGGAACTACTGCTAATCGTAAAAGCTGCCACTAAGTGAGACCTTACTTTGTGCCAGTCATTGGATTAAGCATTTCACATTCATTACCACATTTAATCATTATATTAACCCTAAGTAGTAAGCATTATTACTACTACTACTACTACATTAGTCTCTCCTTACCCGCACTTTCGCTTTCCACAGTTTCAGTTACCTACAGTCAACCACAGTTCCAAAATATTAAATGTAAAATTCCAGTAATAAACTATTCATAAATTTTAAATTGCACACTGTTCTGAGTAGTGTGATGAAATCTCACGCTGTCCTGCTCTATCCCACTAGGAATATAAATCCTCTATTTGTCCAGCACATCCACACTGTATATACTACCTGCCCGTTAGTCATCGGCATTGTCTGCTCTTGACGTCTAACCATGGACATTATTATGGCTCACTGATCTAGGATCATTCACAGCAGATTATTCTCCTACTGGCATATGGTTAGAAGGTCAGTAGTAGCCTAAGGCTATGTCACAAGGCCTATGTCACTCACCTCACTATCTCATCATGTAGGCATTTTATCATCTCACATCATCACAAGAAGAAGGGTGGTTACAGCACAATAAATATTTTGAGAGAGAGGGAGATAATCCACATTCATATAACTTTTTTACAGTATACTGTAATTATATAATTGTTCTATTTTATTATTTTGTTTTAATCACTTACTGTGCCTAATTTGTAAATTAAATTTTATCACAGAACACATGTATAAGAAAAAAATGGTACATATAGGATTCGGTACTATTCATGGTTTTAGGCATCCACTGGGGGTCTTGGAACATACCCCCGAAAGTAAGGGGAAATAACTGTAGTGCTGGAAAAACTGGACAGACACAATTAAAGAAATGAATCTAAGCATAGACCTTATACCTTTCACAAAAATTAACTTGAAATGGATCATAGACTTAACTGTAAAATGAAAAGCTATTAAACTCCTAGAAGATAACAGGAAAAAAATCTAGGTGTCCTTGGGTTTGGTGGTGACTTTTAAAATACAACATAAAAAACACATCCATGAAAGAAAAAATTTGGTAAGTTGAACTTCGTTAAAATTAGAAATGTCTGCTCTGAGGAAGACATGAATGAAAAGTCACACACTCTAGGAAAAGTCTTTGCAAAATACGTATCTGATAAATGACTGTTACCCAAAACATACAAAGAATTCTTAAAACTCAACAATAAGAAAACCAACAACTCAATTAAAATTGGACAAAAGGCTTGCTATGGTCTGAATGTTAGTAGACTAGCCTATCAAACTCATACACTGAAACCTAAGCATCAATGTGATGGTATTAGGAGGTAGGGCTGTTGGGAGGTGATCATGCTATGAGGACTCTGAGATTAATACCCTTATAAAAGATGCCCCAGAAGCCCCAGGACTCTGAGATTAATACCCTTATAAAAGATGCCCCCACGGAAGGACACAGCAAGAAGGCACTATCTATGAACCAGAAAACAAGCCCTCACCAGACACTGAATCTGCCAGTGATCTTACACTTCCCTAGTCTCCATAACCATAAGAAATAAATTTCTGTTACTTATAACCCACCCATGTTTATGGTATTTTAGCTACTTCAATGGACTAAGACAAGACCTGAACAGATACCTCATCAAAAGAGGTAAACAGATGGGAAAATAAAGCATATAAGAAGATGTTCAACATCATATGTCATCAGGGAATTGCAAATTAATACACTGGCATACTACTACTACACACCTATTAGAATGGCTAAAATCCAAAACACTGACATCACCAAAGGACGGTGAGGATGTGGAGCAACAAGAACACTCACTCATTGCTGGTGGGAATACGAAATTATTTTACACAGCCACTTTAGAAGACAGGTTAGCACTTGTTTACAAAACTAAACTTACTCTTACCACAGCAATTGTACTACCTGGTATTTACTCAAATGGACTGAAAATATGACCACATAAAAACCTGCACATGAATGTTTACAGCACCTTTATTCATAATTGTCTAAACTTCAGCTACCCAAACCAAGATGTCCCGCAACAGGTAAATGGATGAACAAATTGTGATATATCCATAAATAAAATATTATTCAGCACTAGAAAGAAATGAGCTATCGGCTGGGCACGGTGGCTGAAGCCTGTAATCCCAGAACTTTGGAAGGCCGAGGCAGGTGGATCACCTGAGGTCAGGAGTTCGAGACCAGCCTGGCCAACATGGTGAAACCCAGTCTCTACTAAAAATACAAAAATTAGCTGGGTGTGGTGGTACACGCCTGTAATCTCAAATACTTGGGAGGCTGGGGCAGGAGAATCGCTTGAACCTGGGAGGCGGAAGTTGCAGTGAGCTAAGATTGTGCCACTGCACTCCAGCCTTGGCACAAGAGCAAAGCTCCAACTCAAAAAAAAAGATATGAGCTATCATATCACAAAGTTATGCAGGCACCTTAAATGCATATTGCTGAGAAAAAAAGCTAATCTGAAAAGGCTATATACTGTATGATTCCAAGAAAAGGCAAAACTATGGAAATAGTAAAAAGATCAACAGTTATCAAGTGTCTTGAAGAAGGGAAAAATGAGTAGGTGTTATTCAGGAAATTTTTAGTGCAGTATTTTGTATGATACTCTAATAGTAGATACATGTCCCTATACAATTGTCAAAACCCACAGACTGTACAACACAAAGAGTGAACCATAAGGCAAACTCTAAACTTTAGTTAATAATAATGTATAAATAATGGTATATTGATTGTCACAAATGTACTACACCAAGGCACCAGTAATATTGGAAACTCTAGAGATGGGGTTGGAATGAGTGTATATATGGCAATTCTCTGTACTTTCCACTCACTTTTCTGTAAAACTACAACTGTTCAAATAGACATTTCTCCCCAAGAAGACATAAAAACCACCAATAAGCACATGAAAAGATATAGAACAGCAGAAAATGCAAATTAATATGTCAATGAGATACCACTTCACACCCACGAGGATGGGTATAATAAAAAACTAGATAATAACAAGTGCTATCAAAGTTGCAGAGAAATTGCAATGCTCATACATTGTTGGGGGATTGCTGCTTTAGAAAATAGGTACAGCTGCTTTAGAAAATAGGTTAATATTTCTTCAAACTGTTAATCATTTAATCACTTTATGGGCCTGTGATTCCATTCCTAGGAACACACTAAAGAGAAATGAAAACCTATTTCCCCACAAAAACTTGACACAAATATTCATAGTAGCATCATTCATAACAGCCAAAAAGTATAAACAATCTAAATGTTCATCAGCTGATGAACAGATAAACCATATGTGGCATGTCCATACAATGGAATATTATTCAGCCATAAAAGGAATGAAGTACTGAGACATGCTACAACAGGAATCAACTTCAAAAATACTATTCTAAGTGAAAGAAGCCAGACACAAAAGATCGTACATTGTGTGATTCCAGGATGGGCAAATCCATAGACAGGTAGTAGATCAGTAGTTTCCAGGGCCTGGGGGAAGGAAAGGATAGGGAGTGACTGCTAATGGGTACACAGTTTCATTTTGAGATGAAAATATTCTGGAATTAGATAGTAGTGATAGTTGCCTAACTCTGTGACTATACTAAAACCAATGAGTTATATCCTTTAAAAGGGTAAATATACATCACATTAATTATATCTCAATAAGGTTGTTATAAATAAATATATCAAGCAGCTGACCACTCCCCACAAAAAAAAAAAAAAAAAAAATAGAAAGGTTTTAGTGAAACTAGTCAAAAGAGTAACTTTAACTCCTGATATTCAATACTGCTTTTGGCCTTACCTCAGATATATATGGGAATTTGAAACAGTATAAACACAAAATAACAGTAAACTCAAAAAAAGTGAGAAAACTTAAAAAGCACATTATGCCTTATATCAAGTTTTATTTCTCCTTCTCTCAAACCACTCAAGACACTGAAAGCCAGAAAGAAGAAATTCAAGTCCACAAATATCAAATATCGTGCCTCCATTTTTTCTCAGTGGAACAATCAAGGAGGCAATAAAACTATATATAATTTTAACAGCAAACTCAATACAGTTCTTCCACATCAATCTTTGTTAATTCCCTGAAAATTCCATTAAAATTTTAAAAATGTATTTAACCTACCTAGGCTCTTCAGAAACTATAAAAGCAGCATAAAACAGTCTGTATCCTTAAGAAACTCTGTATGAAAGTTTTAATGAAACTTTGTATGAAAACCTGCCTCTCAGGTTTCCCACTGCAAGGAACATCATTATCAATGGTCCCAACTGCTGACCTATCAAATCCATTCTCTTGCTGGGGACAGGCAAAGATTCCCAGCCTATATGACTGAGAACAGCAGGCATACTTAATGGAGACCTTTTCCCAGGAAAAACTGAACTCCTCTGACTTGGTAACTTTGGTTTGAGGACTCCCATTGCCATGCTGTTACTTTCTTAGAGCTGTACTGGCAATGTAACACTTTTCCTATCCAACTTGTAGCTGTCCTTCCCTTTTCTTCCACCTAATTATAGCCTCCACTTGAAAACTACAAATTTCCATGACTTAAAGAACAGTGCTACACATAGCACAAAGATTACTATTTCTTTCAAGTTTCTATCGGTTTTATCAGCAAATAGATTTTTTACAAGTGACTTAAATGGCTATATAAAATACTAATAATTAGGTGCCTGAAAACAGAATTACCAAATTTAAGAGAGTATAAAACCAATAGGGGGAAAAAATTTGACGTATAGCAGTGTGTAGTAACTTACAACCTTAAGAATAAAAACAAAGAGTTTAGTTATAAGGAGTTTTAAAACTTAGAAAATGTTGTCATAAAACTTTGTTCCATTTGATTCACAAAACACTGAAGAAGAGAAAAAAGGCAGCACAATAATGTTTACTGAGTTCCTTTATGTACCAAACACTGGGCTGGGCATTGCTGTATTAGTACCGTCCCCATTTTACAGGCAGTGAAATTGAGGGTCATAAATTTCACAGATGACAGAGCAGGAACATCACCATCTTGAACAAGCCCCTCATTCTAAAATTCACCTTAATAAGAAACTGCCTAAATCCAAAGGGCATCCCCCTAATGGCTAAGGTCAGCATGACCATAAACCACAAACAACATCACCAACCTGAAACATTCCAAACTCCTCCCAGATCAGAGACATACTAGCCTCAAAATAAACCCCTCTCTGGGCCGGAAAGATGTCTGCCCCAAGATAACCTCCCCTCCTCCCAAAGAGATTCCAACCCCGCCATAAAATTCTCCACACACATAAATATTCCAAGCTTGTGATAAGCCCCCTCGCCCTAAAACCAATATATATTCTTAGTCTGTAAAAGGAAACACTTCTTAACGAAATCGGCCAGGAGTGCCTCTCAGGTTTTGTCTAAAATAAACCTGTCTTTAACTGCCAGCCGCGTTTTGTGTTTCTTTCCTTTCTTTAACTCTTACATTTGGTGCCCAAACCCGGGATGAGTGCTGGGGGCAGAGGCTCTCTTGCAACCCAGGAAGCAGTGGGCAACAGCAGCTCATCTTGAGTTAATTCCTGGATCCTGAGGGTCTCTGGCCACATGCCCCATCTTTTCTCTCACTTCACTTTTCCCTCATCCTCCCTTTTTTTTTCTTCCTCTCTCTCTCTCCCTCGTGCGGCTGCAGTCCAGGAGGCCCTTTGCCAAATCCAACCGGAACATCCAACATTGGACACTAATCCAGCCAACTGGTAAGATCTGCCGTCCCCTGGCTTTCTTGCAGTACCCAGGAAAAGTCAGGTCAGCCATCCCGGTCCTCAGAGGACCAGCAGGACTAAGCTAGAGGAAATCTTGGGGATGCCCAGTTTCTTCTCAGCTTGATGACTGTCCTCTTCAGAAAGACGATTCCGGACTTCTGTCTTTTGTCTGGGGATGCCTAGAACAAAAACAGACACCCTCGGCTTCTTCTCACCAGTCCACATGGGTGCCAAACAATTCCACATTCCTACGGTCTCTCCACTGTGCTGTCTCCTTCATGACCTCGCCAAAGTTGGCTTAAGTGTTTAGTCTTTTACTGTAACACAGCCTGGCCCCAAAACACATTAGATAATGGCAGCCCATGGTCCGAAAATGGCATCTTTAACTTGCAAATTCTCAGGAACTTCACAACTTTATGACCAGGAATGGCAAATGGCAAGAGGTTCTCTATATTCAGGCCTTCTTCTACTTCTACCTTAAATCCCAACCCTACCTGTGTCAAGCTTGTACCTCTTATAAAATCTTTCTTCTTATTAAAAACCCTCTCCGGGTCTCTCCTTCCTCCGAAACTCCTTTTGACCCTGCAGATGAACCCTCTCTGTATTCTTATCCCCCTGCATCTGCTCCTAGCCTGTCCAAACCCTCCACCCTGGTGGCCCTACCTGCCTCCAAGCCTTCAGCCCCAAACCCCACTCCTCCTCCTCCTCCACCTGTTACCCATTCAAAAACCACCTCTGCCATTCTCCCTCTCTGGGAAGTGGCTGGAGTTAAAGGCACTGCTCATGTTCATGTCTCTTTCTCCATGTCTGACTTGTCACAGATCAAAACTATGAGTATATTCAAAAGGTCTTTATAGTTTTCTCTTCATCAATCTTATTTTCCTGGAAAAGGTTTTCCCCCAGTTAACTCAATTACTTTTCTTCACTGTGTCTTGCAACTCTTGGTGCATATGTAAAAAACCCTAAAATGACTTCTGGTGCCCTGGGATTCCTTTGGAAAAGAGAAAAGGCACCACAAATCCCATTTTGGGGAAAAATCTGTTTTCCTTATGGAAACCGTGGAATTAGAGGTAAATAAGTACCTCTCAAAATCTTTGTATTTGTCTTCCAGCTATACCTGTTTATTAGACCCTGGAAACTGTTTTCCTAGTCCTGTTCTTCAAGGGCCTCACCTGAAGGTCAATAATCCAATTGGGAAATTAGCAGAGAGAAAAAAAAAACGTTATAGCTACTGAATCTTCTTCTGGTTGTCTGTGTGGCTATATATGTGTTGTCTGTGCAATGTCTATTAAAAGAGCTCTAATTAATTGGCCTAAGAAAACTAAGCACTTAAATCAAATATTTTTAAGGGAAAAGTAAAAGCTGTGGGACCTTTCAGTTCACGTGACCTTAATCTTTAAATCTTACTGGTACACTAAAGTTAGAAGTATCTTAAAAGTTGCCAGCATACCTTTTTGTTTGCATTTGTTAATCAGGCAAATTCATACTTTTCTCGGCCAAATACTGTAAGGTGTCAACATTTTGCATAGAGGCTGCAAAACTAACTCAGCCCAAACAAAATCATCTTTGCTTGTGTCATTTTTTTTTTTAAGACAGAGTTTCGCTCTTGTTGCCCAGGCTGAAGTACAATAGCACAATCTCAGCTCACCACAACCTCTGCCTCATGGGTTCAAGCCATTCTCCTGCCTCTGCCTCCCAAGTAGCTGGGATTACAGGCATGTGCCACCACGCCCGGGGAATTTTTTGTATTTTTAGTAGAGATGGGGTTTCTCCAAGTTGGTCAGGCTAGTCTCAAACTCCCAACCTCAGGTAACCCACCCGTCTTGGCCTCCCAAAGTGCTGGCATTACAGGCGTGAGACACCGCACCCAGCCTTGTGTAATTTTTTAATAAATGAAATATTAATATTGGTTTAATGAAGATAGCTGTATCTTAAACTATTTAGTAAAATATCTTAGCTTCTAATCTTGTGGCTTAGGCAGTCTAGTCCACAAACATGAAGGAAGTTTGCTTTGGGAAAGAATGGTTATCATCTGTGACATTAAAGAAAGGAGAAGTTATGGAAAAAGAATCTTATATGGTAAATTCTTGTCCTAAGTTAACTGGTTGTTTAAAGAAAGAGATGTTTACAAGTCAGAAAGTTGAGGCATGTCAAGGATTGTCTGTGAAAGTCATGAAAAATGTTATAAAAGGGAATTTATACAAGAAATGTTGTATAATTTAAAAGTAATTAGGCCTCCTGAATGCTTTATAAAATGTCACTGTAACTCTTAGCTGGACAACTGGCCTGCTTTGCAGCTAGGTAAAACCTACGACACGTGGAGTTAAATGCTAGAACATTTAACTGCACTTCTTTCTAGGTCCTGGGCTCTACACCTAGCACATAATTAAAATCCCAAACTTACAAGGTTTTCAACAAAAGTAAAGTTTACTAAAAGTTAACAGCGTAGCCAAGATGGCCGAATAGGAACAGCTCCTGTCTGCAGCTCCCAGCATGATCGACGCAGAAGACGGCTAATTTCTGTATTTCCAACTGAGGTACCTGGTTCATCTCATTGGGAATGGTTGGACAGTGGGTGCAGCCCATGGAGGGCAAGCTGAAGCAGGGTGGGGCGTTGCATCACCCACAAAGCGCAAGGAGTCGGGGGTTTCCCTTTCCTAGCCAAGGGAAGCCATGACAGACTACCTGGAAAAATGGGAAACTACCCACCCAAATACTGCACTTTTCCCAAGGTCTTAGCACCCGCTGACAAGATGATTCTCTCCCGTGCCTGGCTCGGCGGGTCCCACGCCCACGGAGCCTTGCTCACTGCTAGCGCAGTAGTCTGAGATCGATCTGTCAGGCGGCAGCCTGGCTGGGGAAGGGTGTCTGCCATTGCTGAGGCTTGAGTAGGTAAAAAAAGTGGCCGGGAAGCTCGAACTGGGCAGAGCCCACCACAGCTCAACAACACCTACAGCCTCTAGACTCCACCTCTGTGGGCAAGGCATAGCTGAATAAAAGGCAGCAGACAACTTCTGCAGACATAAACGTCCCTATCTGACAGCTCTGAAGAGAGCAGTGGTTCCTCCCAGCACGGCATTTGAGCTCTGAGAACAGACAGACTGCCTCCACAAGTGGGTCCCTGACCCCCGTATAGCCTAACTGGGAGATACCTCCCAGTAGGGGCCAACAGACACCTCATATAGGCAGCTGCCCCGCTGTGACGAAGCTTCCAGAGGAAGATCAGGCAGCAATATTTGCTGTTCTGCAGTATTTGTTGTTCTGCAGCCTCTGCTGGTGATACACAGGCAACCAGGGTCTGGAGTGGAACTCCAGCAAACTCCAACAGACCTGCAGCTGAGGGATCTGTTAGAAGGAAAACAAACAAACAGAAAGGAATAGCATCAACATCAACAAAAAGGACATCTACACCAAAACCCCATCTGTAGGTCACCAACATCAAAGAACGAAGGTAGATAAAACCACAAAGATGAGGAGAACCAGAGCAGAAAAGCTGAAAATTCTAAAATCAGAGCACCTCTTCACCTCCAAAGGATGGCAGCTCCTCGCCAGCAACAGAAAAAAAGCTGGAAGGAGAATGACTTTGACGAGTTGACAGAAGTAGGCTTCATAAGGTCGGTAATAACAGACTTCTCCGAGTTAAAGGAGAATGTTCAAACCCATCGCAAGGAAGCTAATAACCTTGAAAAAAGATTAGACTAATGGCTAACTAGAATAAACAGTGTAGAGAAGACATTAAATAAACTGATGGAGCTGAAAATCATGGCACAAGAACGTCATGACATATGCACAAGCTTCAATAGCTGATTCGATCAAGTGGAAGAAAGGGTATCAGTCACTGAAGATCATATTAATGAAATAAAGCGAGAAGGTTAGAGAAAAAAGACTGAAAAGAAATGAATAAAGCCTCCAAGAAATATGGGACTATGTGAAAAGACCAAATCTACGTTTGATTGGTGTAGAAAGTGATGGGGAGAAGGGAACCAAGTTGGAAAACACTCTGCAGGATATTATCCAGGAGAACTTCCCTAACCTAGGAAGGCAGGCCAACATCCAAATTCAGGAAATAGAGAGAACACCACAAAGATACTCCAAGAGAAGAGCAACCCCAAGACACATAATTGACAGATTCACCAAGGTTGAAATGAAGGAAAAACTGTTAAGGGCAGCCATAGAGAAAGGTCGAGTTAATCACAATCGGAAGGCCATCAGACTAACAGTGGATCTCTCGGCAGAAACCCTACAAGCCAGAAGAAAGTGGAGGCCAATATTCAAAATTCTTAAAGAAGAATTTTCAACCCAGAATCTCATATCCAGCCAAACTAAGCTTCATAAGTGAAGGAGAAATAAAATCCTTTACAGACAAGCAAATGCTGAGAGACTTTGTCACCACCAGGCCTGCCTTACAAGAGCTCCTGAAGGAGGAACTAAACATGGAAAGGAACAACTGGTACCAGCTACTGCAAAAACATGCCAAATTGTAAAGACCACTGATGCTATGAAGAAACTGCATCAATTAATGGGCAAAATAACCAGCGAACATCATAATGACAGGAACAAATTCATATATAGCAATATTAACCTTAAATGTAAACAGGCTAAATGCCCCAATTAAAAGACACAGATTGGCAAATTGGATAAAGAGTCAAGACCCATCAGTGTGCTGTATTCAGGAGACCCATCTCATATGCAAAGACGCACACAGACTCAAAATAAAGAGATGGAGGAAGATTTACCAAGCAAATGGAGAGAAAAAAAAAAAAGCAGGGGTTGCAATCCTAGTCTCTGATAAAACAGACTTTAAACCAACAAAGATCAAAGAGACAAAGAAAGCCATTACATGATGGTAAAGGAGTCAATTCAACAAGAAGAGCTAACTATCCTAAAGATATATGCACCCAATACAGGAGCACCCAGATTCATAAAGCAAGTCCTTGGAGACCTACAAAGAGACTTAGACTCCTACACAATAATAATGGGAGACTTTAACACCCCACTGTCAACATTAGAAAGATCAACTACAAAAGGTTAACAAGCATATCCAGGACCTGAACTCAGCTCTGCAACAAGCAGACCTAATAGACATCTACAGAACTCTCCACCCAAAATCAACAGAATATACATTCTTCTCAGCACCACACTGCACTTATTCTACAACTGACCACATAATTGGAAGTAAAGCACTCCTCAGCAAATGTAAAAGGACAGAAAGCACAACAAACTGTCTCATAGACCACAGTGCAATAAAATTAGAACTCAGGATTAAGAAACTCACTCAAAACTGCACAACTGCATGGAAACTGAACAACTTGCTCCTGAATGACTACTGGGTACATAATAAAATGAAGGCAGAAATAAAGATATTCTCTGAAACCAATGAGAACAAAGACACAACATACCAGAATCTCTGGAACACATTTAAAGCAGTGTGTAGAGGGAAATTTATAGCACTAAATGGCCACAAGATAAAGCAGCAAAGATCTAAAATTGACACCCTAACATCACAATTAAAAGAACTAGACAAGCAAAAGCAAACAAATTCAAAAGCTAGCAAAAGGCAAGAAATAACTAAGATCAGAGCAGAACTGAAGGAGATAGAGACACAGAAAAACCTTAAAAAAAAAAAAAAATCAATGAATCCAGGAGCTGGTTTTTTGAAAAGATCAACAAAATTGATAGACCGGTAGCAAGATTAATAAAGAAGAAAAGAGAGAAGAATCAAATATACGCAATAAAAAATGATAAAGGGGATATCACCACCGATCCCACAGAAATACAAACTACCATCAGAGAATACTATAAACACCTCTATGCAAATAAACTAGAAAATCAAGAAGAAACAGATAAATTCCTGGACACATACACCCTCCCAAGAATAAACCAGGAAGAAGTTGAATCTCTGAATAGACCAATAACAGGCTCTGAAATTGAGGCAATGATTAATAGTCTACCAACCAAAAAAAGTCCAGGACCAGAGGTACAAAGAGGAGCTGGCACCATTCCTTCTGAAACTATTTCAATCAATAGAAAAAGAGGGGATCCACCCTGACTCATTTTATGAGGCCAACATCATCCTGATACCAAAACCTGGCAGAGACACAACAAAAAAAGGAGAATTTTAGACCAATATCCCTGATGAACATTGATGCAAAAATCCTCAATAAAATATTGGCAAATTGAATCCAGCAGCACATCAAAAAGCTTATCCACCACGATCCAGCAGGCTTCATCCCTGGAATGCAAGGCTGGTTCAACATATGCAAATCAACAAACGTAATCCATCACATAAACAGAACCAAAGACAAAAACCACATGATTATCTCAATAGATGCAGAAAAGGCCTTCGACAAAATTCAACAGCCCCTCATGCTAAAATTCTCAATAAACGAGGTATTGATGGAACGTATCTCAAAATAAGAGCTATTTATGACAAACTCACAATCAATATCATACTGAATGGGCAAAAACTGGAAGCATTCCCTTTGAAAACCAACACAAGACAAGGATGCCCTCTCTCACCAGTCCTATTCAACATAGTGTTGGAAGTTCTGGTCAGGGCAATCAGGCAAGAGAAAGAAATAAAGGGCATTCAATTAGGAAACAAGGAAGTCAAATTGTCCCTGTTTGCAGATGACATGATTGTATATTTGGAAAACTCCACCGTCTCAGCCCAAAATCTCAAGCTGATAACCAACTTCAGCAAAGTCTCAGGATACAAAATCAACGTGCAAAAATCACAAGCATTCCTAGACACCAATAACAGACCAACAGAGAGCCAAATCATGAGTGAACTCCCATTCACAATTGCTACAAAGAGAATTAAATACCTAGGAATACAACTTACAAAGAATGTGAAGGACCTCTTCAAGAATAACTACAAACCACTGCTCAACGAAATAAAAGAGGACATAAACAAATGGAAGAATATTCCATGCTCATGGATAGGAAAAATCAATATGGTGAAAACGGCCATACTGCCCAAAGTAATTTATAGATTCAATGTCATCCCCATGAAGCTACCAATGACTTTCTTCACAGAATTGGAAAAAACTACTTTAAACTTCATATTGAATCAAAAAAGAGCCTGAATTGCCAATACAATCCTAAGCAAAAAGAACAAAGCTAGAGGCATCATGCTACCTGACTTCAAACTATACTACAAGGCTACAGTCACCAAAACAGCATAGTACTGGTACCAAAACAGATATATAGACCAATGGAACAGAAGAGAGCCCTCAGAAATAATACCACACATCTACAACCATCTGATCTTTGACAAACCTGAGAAAAACAAGAAATGGGGAAAGGATTCCCTATTTAATAAATGGTGCTGGGAAAACTAGCTAGCCATATGCAGAAAACTGAAACTGGACCCCTTCCTTACACCTTATAGAAAAATTAATTCATGATGGATAAAAGACTTAAATATTAGACCTAAAACCATAAAAACCCTAGAAGAAAACCTAGGCAATATCATTCAGGACATAGTTATGGGCAAGGACTTCATGACTAAAATACCAAAAGCAATGGCAACAAAAGCCAAAATAGACAAATGGGATCAATTAAACTGAAGAACTTCTGCACGGTGAAAGAAACTACCATCAGAATGAACAGGCAACCTACAGAATGGGAGAAAATTTTTGCAATCTATCCATCTGACAAAGGGCTAATATCCAGAATCTACAAATAACTCAAACAAATTTACAAAAAAAAAAACAACCCCCATCATAAAGTGGGCAACAGATATGAACAGAAACTTGTCAAAAGAAGACATCTATGCAGCCAACAGACACACGAAAAAATGCTCATCATCACTGGTCATCAGAGAAACACAAATCAAAACCACAATGAGATACCATCTCACGCCAGTTAGAATGGCGGTCGTTAAAAAGTCAGGAAACAACAGATGCTGGAGAGGATGTGGAGAAACTGGAATGCTTATACACTGTTGGTGGCAGTGTAAATTGGTTTAACCATTGTGGAAGACAGTATGGGGATTCCTCAAGGATCTAGAACTAGAATTACCATTTGACCCAGCAATCCCATTACTGGGTATATACCCAAAGGATTATAAATCATGCTACTATAAAGACACATGCACACGTTTGTTTATTGTGGCACTATTCACAAGACTTGGAACCAACGCAAATGTCCATCAATGATAGACTGGATTAAGAAAATGTGGCACATATACAGCATGGAATACTATGCAGCCATAAAAAAGGATGAGTTCCTGTCCTTTGCAGGGACACAGATGAAGCTAGAAACCATCCTTCTCAGCAAACTATCACAAGGACCTAAAACCAAAGACCGCATGTTCTCACTCACAGGTGGGAATTGAACAATGAGATCACTTGGACACAGGGCAGGGAACATCACACACTGGGGACTGTAAGGGGATGAGGGACTGCGGGGAGGGATAGCATTAGGAGAAATACCTAATGTAAATGATGAGTTGATGGGTGCAGCAAACCAACATGGCACATGTATACCTATGTATCAAACCTGTACGTTGTGCACATGTACCCTAGAACTTAAAGTATAATAATAAAAGTTAATGGTGTAACATGTATTTAAAGCTATTGAAAAAACAGTTTATATGCAAGGTGTGTAAGGAAAGTAAAATATACTTTTCGTAAAAGGATTATAAGGAGGCATAAGAATGTGGATTTTTACCTACATTAAAAAGTTAAAAAATTGTTTTGAAGGTTTAAGCAAGTTTTGAAACGTTAATTATAAAGGAAATTCTGTGTGTAAACATATTGGTAAAGTTAAAGGGGTATCATCCAGTTTTTCTGTAAATTGGGCATTAAAACAAAAGCACAATGGGTTTTTCTTAAAGCACTAACCTGTTCTTTAACAAAACTTATAAAGCATTAAAAAAAGTCTATAAAAATCTTACCTTATGGTCAGATATTAAAATTGGATAAATATGCCTACAAGGTCTTATTAAAATTGAGTTTAACATTAATAGCACACTAATAGAAAGGTGAAATTTAGCTTATCTGGTATAAAATCATACAAGAAGCATTGTCAAATATAAAACGGTATTTGGCTTTCTTTGGTCTATATTTGTATGTTACTCATATGTGTTCCAAAGTTATGGAAGACTCCTATAATTCTGATATATATTAGTGTACATTTTCAGTAATAATTACAATCGTTATGTTAAAATTATTGTGTGTCATCCTTGTCAATTGTGTCTTTATGGCTACCCTAAAACTTTTTGTCATCCATAAACAATTGTTGCCTTGTTTTGGTCCTCTTTAAAAGGTGGTTTTATAATCAGCTATAAAGCTCTAACAGGTGCTCTTAAATGCAGGTTTCTGATAACACTGGAGACTGTAACATCAGAATAGAGGAAAAACGTTCAGGACTTTTGAAGAGATAAAATGTTAATATTGAGCATGACAGGAATTAATTCCATGAACTAAACTAACAGGAGACCAATCTTTTTAATGTTTTAACATATTGCTAATCCTTTGTTTTGCTTTTCAAAGTCAAAGAAATTTTTCTTTTGAGCTATTAACAGCTTTTAACAATTTACTATACTACCATGAACAAAATTTGGAACATACTTGTTTCTCTCTACCTGATTTTCTCCATAATTTTGAAACTATCTGTGAGTATTCTTAAGTTACAGTACTTGCATAAGTGCACTAAAAATCTGTTTTCTTTTGTAACAGGACAGAATTGGAAAAACTGGTTATTTTTACAAAGGCTTTAACTGGAATAATATGCTTTCCTTTAAGGAACCATACTTACAAAGGCAAAAATGCCCTTGGAAAACTGGCCTCATATTTTGTGTACACAGTCCCTGTACAGGGTTTCTGGTCTATGGTAAGTAAAGAATGTCACTTTCTAGCAGACCAGGAATACCAAGTTATCTTGGGACCTCAAGAGGAAAGAAATTCACCAACTCATAGATATTTGATAGTACAAATCCAGGGCTGGGCTTGGCTAAAACGGTTTTCTCTCAGATTCCTTCTACAGAACAAAGTTCCATCAAAGCCAATTTAAAAGGCCTATGTAACAAATAATTATTCTTGCTGCACTGTATGCAAATAATTAAGCCAAGTATAATAAAGCAAACCATTCCTACCATGATTTGTCTTTTAATAAAAATGGGAAACTGGAAAAAGAAAATTATATTTAAAAAACCATAGCACACCTGTTGTTAAATTCTAGTGTTGCCTAACATTTTTCAGTTTTTATTATTTTCTACTGCTTAAATTAAATTCTAATTTTTCTGGCTACAAGTTTCCAAAATAAGTCGGGCTTTCTTAAAGCCCTATAAACTGAAAACTAGATGTTTCAGCAGACGCTGCCTCTAAGCTCCCCGACCATCACAGAAGGAAATCTCTTCACTGCTGGTGCTGACAACTAATAACTGAGGGTGCCCAGAATCCTTCACCCCCATGTCTAGTGAATCCACGGAACCCAGGGTAATTAAAATGGTACCTGTTACAGGAATCAACTCCTAAATACATCACACTCAAGTCAAAGCCTGGAAAGCTAAGGAAGCAACCCCTGACAGCCCCCAAAAGTCATAAATATCAATGTAAAGAAATAAGAAATCTTGCTAGGTGAAGTAGCTCACGCCTGTAATCCCAGCATTTTGGGAGGCTGAGGCACATGTATCACCTGAAGCCAGGAGTTCAAGACCACCCTGACCAACAAGGTGAAACCCCATCTCTACTTAAAAAATACAAAAATTAGCCGGGCGTACAGGCAGGCGCCTGTAGTCCCAAGCTACTCGGGGGCTGAGACAGGAGAACTGCTTGAACCTGGGAGTTGGAGGTTGCATTGAGCTGAGATTGCGCCACTGTACTCCAGTCTGGGTGACGGAGCAAGAGTCTGACTCCAAAAAAAAAAAAAAGGAAATAAAAAGCTAAGGAAATATCTAAACAACCAAACAGATTCTTGGTTTGGAAACAAAATCATAGCATGTGTCATCCCATTCCTGAGCCCCCTTCTAATAATATGCCTGGGACTAATGTTCTTACCCTGCCCAATTAACCTTTTTCAAAGATTTTTATCTGACAGGATCATGGCCATTTCACAGACAACTACCCAAAAACATCTACAGATGTCATTGCTCCTACAGTCAACCTGAGACCAGAAAACTCTCCATCCCCTAGTCAGCAGGAAGTAGCCAGAAGAACACGCCGTCCCTCCTCAAATTATAGGGTCTGGATTGACAGAGTAGGAGCATCGCCATCTTGGACAAGCCCCTCATTCTAAAATTCACCTTAATAAAAAACTGCCTAAATTCAAAGGGCATCAGCCTAATGGCTAAGGTCAGCATGACCATAAACCACAAATAACATCTCCAACCAGAAACATTCCAAACTCCTCCCTGACCAGAGACATGCTAGCCCCGAAATAAACCCCGCTCCAGTTGGAAAGATGCTAGCCCCGAGATAACACCCCTCCTGGCCGGAAAGATGTCTGCCCCAAGATAACCTCCCCTCCTCCCAGAGAGATTCTAACCCCACCATAAACTTCTCCACACACATAAACATTCCAATCTTGTGATAAGCCCCCTCACCCTAAAACCAATATATACTCTTAGTCTGTAAGAGAAAGCGCTCCTGATCAAAATCAGCCAGGAGCACCTCTCAGGTTTTGTCTAAAGTGAACTTGTCTTTAACTGCCAGCCACATTTCGTGTTTCTTTCCTCTTTCTTTAACTCTTACAATAGATATGCTCAAGCTTTCAAAATTATTAAGTAAGACCAAAATCTTCCTCTGGCACTGTCTCCAGAATATATTCAGAGAATACTCATATCCTTAAGGATCAAAAACAGACATCATCTTTCCTCATTCTCCAAAATGCTATAAAAGCAGGTATTAAAATGGTATTAAGCCAAGCGCGGTGGCCCACAATTGTAATCCCAGCACTTTGGGAGACTGAGGTGGGTGGATCACCTGAGGTCAGGAGTTCGAGACCAGCCTGACCAACATGGTGAAACCCCATCTCTACTAAAAATACAAAATTATCCAGGAGTAGTGGCGCATGCCTGCAAGCCCAGCTACTTGGGAAGCTGAGGCAGGAGAATTGCTTGAACCCAGGAGGCGGAGGTTGCAGTGAGACAAGATTGCACCATTGCACTCCAGCCTGGGCAACAAGAGTGAAATTCTGTCTCCAATAAATAAATAAATAAAATGGTATTAAAAGTAGACTATGCTCTCCATTCACAACCTAACAATAGTGATACCTCACATCCCTATCCCTCTATATCCCAATTACAGAACAAGTGAAACTAGGCAGGAGACTTGAAACCTATGACTCACTTCAAAGGAGAAATGAATAGTAAATGAAGCCAAGATCACTAATAAACATGCAACTTACTGATTTTCAAGTTGGAACAGTCAGCCTCAACAAACCATAAGGAGGTTTGGGATTGACTGATGTTCTCCCTGTTACAACAGTACAGGTCTCCTACATTAATTAGGTACCTACCCAATCTTTATCCCCACAACACAAATATTTCCTATCACAAGCACTTCCAAACTGCCCAAGTTAAGATAGTTTAAGTACTCTGTCACAGTATGATGGACAACAGTGGGAAAAAAATAAAATACCACTGAAATGAAGATTATACCAGAAATTCTTTTAAAAAGCCCAGTGTCTTAGGTACAGTTTATGTGACTCCTGGCACACAGGGATAATTATTCTTGGTTTTCTTTTTATCTTTGACCATTATCTCTCATCTTTACTATTCACCAAAAAAAAAAAAAAAAAAAAAGCCTCTCACTGCCATTAGGAGATTTCGCAGGTTGGTTTATTTAATTGAACAAGGAGAAGATCCTATTTCAACCTTCTGCTGGAAACACCTAATAATTTAAGGCAATCCCAAACAGCAGCTATGTAAATCACAGATTTTAAAACTACAGACTTTTAAGTTGTCAGAGAAATTCCTATTTTATGATAATCAAGAGAAACAAATAGGTCAATATATCAAATTTTATTTTTTGGCCACAACAAAGAATACTTAAATTCCACAAAGGAAGGGTGATACAAGGAAAAAAACCGAGCTTGGTATAAAGCAGTCCATCACTTTTTAACATGTAGAATAAAAAACAAGAAAAACTATACAATAGCAACAAAAACAATAAAATACTTAAGAATAAACTTAAGAAATTTCTAAAGCCTGACTAAGCCAAAACTTCTGAAAGACATAAAAGTAGATTTGAACAAATGGAAAAATATTTCTTATTCCTGGCTAAGATAATTCAAGCTCACAAATATATCAGTTCTTCCTATATTAATTTATAAATAAAATCCCAATTTAAAAGATCAACACTTTTTTTATAAAGTTAGATAAACTGATGCCAAAGTTCATATAGAAAAATAAACATGTAAAAATAGGTAGGAAAACACCAAAAAGAAAAGCTACAAGGGCATATTAACCCTATCAGACATTAAAACATACTATAAAGTCTCTATAATCAAAACGGTATAGTAGTGACACATGAATATGCAAACAGCTTAGTGGAATAAAATGGAAAGTCCAGAAATAGAGCCAAGTACATGTAGAAATTTAGCATATAATAACAGTAACATCTCAAATAACTGGAACAAAGATAGTCTTCTACTAAATTGTACCCAGACAAGTAGTTAATGATTTAGAAAAGATAAAATTAGATCAATAATTCATACCATAATAGGAATAAACTCCAAATGGATCAGGGATCTAAATGCAAAAACTGAACCCTGATAACTACTAGAGGAAAATATAGATGACTTCCTCTTTAACCTGAGGATAGCTGGAAAGCTTTATAACCATAACACAAAATCCAGATAAAAGAGCAATAAATTCAACTGCATAGAGGGAAGGAAGGACTCTTACATATCAGAAAAAAAAAACTACCATACACAAAGTAAAAATTACACATATCACACCTAATATAAATTCCATAATAAAGTACTCTTCAGGGTTGATTGGGAAAAATCAAAATCACATTTTTAAAATGGACCAAAAAAAGGACAATTCATACAGACTCACAAAAACAAATAAAATGGACCTTGAATACATGAAAAGATGTTAAAGTGTACTCAAAATAGGAAGATTGTAAATTAAAACTATAATGAGATACCATTTCTCACCTATGAGATTAGCAAAAATTTAAAAAGTAAGGCAACTTTTATAGCCAAAACTATGGACCAACAGGCACTCATACTTAACTAGAGAGAATGCAAATTGGTATAACCTTTATGGAGGGGCATTTAGCAGCTGTAAAAAGGATGAAAAAAAAAAAAATCTCTGAACTGATATGCAATGATTGCCAGGAAATATAGCTTAAAGAAAAAGCAAAGTACAAAAGAGTGTCTCCAATATGCTACCTCCTGTGTAAGGAAGAAAAAAAAAAAAAGAAAATGCACAAACGAGCAGGTATGTGTAAAACAAAACTGAGGAAAAGTAAGCCAGAACATAATGAGGTTGGCCATCTACAGGGAGTGAGTGGAAATAAAATAGAAAGAATCGAAAAGAAATGACACTAGATTTCTGACTTTTGGAACCATGTTAGTGTTTCACAGAATGAAAACATAAATAATTTTTTTAATCAAAAAGAAAGGGGGTGAAGTTCTAAGAAGCGATACATACAGAAACAGATGAACCTAACTACTTCAAATTAATAGTCTATGCTACAGGAAAAAATTAAAATTAAAAAAAAAGAAAAACCCAAATACTTTTTGAATATAATATAAAATCCATATGCCTTTCAAGCTAAAGATAAAAAACATAAACAGTGAACTCTTAGTAAGTCCAACTCTGCCCCCAGGGATATGAGTTAGCAGCTCTGAAACTAGCTTGTAAATTCTAGGATTGAGCAAATAAGTAAATATATTGTGGATAACAGCAGCTAGGTTTTCTCAGTTCAGAAAGAGGAGTTACAAATATAGAAATAAAGAAGGCTAGAGTGAACTCTGTGATGTTGCTCTGCAATTAAAAGTATTAATTTTTAATAGAAAGAAATACAGAAAAAAACGTGTGAATATGCTTGCACACATGTGCACACACATACACCTATTCTCTAGTTCTACTGGCTAAGGGGATCTAGATCCAGCTTGAAAGGGCTTTCGCTGACCAAATCTGAAGCAATTTTTTTTGAGACAGAGTCTTGCTCTGTCACCCAGGCTGGAGTGCAGTGATGCAATCTCAGCTCACTGCAAGCTCCACCTCCTGGGCCATTCTCTTGCCTCAGCCTCCCTTACAGGCACCCGCCACCATGCCCAGCTATTTTTTTCTATTTTTTAGTAGAGACGGGGTTTCACCATGTTAGCCAGGATGGTCTCAATCTCCTGACCTCGTGATCCGCCCGCCTCGGCCGCCCTAAGTGCTGGGATTACAGGTGTGAGCCACTGCACCTGGCCTGAAGCAATCTGAGTATCAAAATAAATGACCAAAGATTATAACCCATTTAATAAAATGAGAGTCAATGAGTCCATATGATATATACAATTAAATGAGAGTCAATGAGTCCGTATGATATATAAAATTAAATGAGAGAAGGGAAAAGCTTTCCTCATAATCCTTAGAGTAGAATCTAATTAATAAAGAAAAAAAGAATTAGAAAATCACCATTTGTAGCCATTATTATAATAATTGATTCTAACAAAAACTCATTAATGCATACTAAAACTAGTTGGTAAAAGCTGGATGAGAAAAAGGTTATTTATGTAGTCTAAAAGTATTTTCCTACATATTCCTTATAATTATGAAGAGAAAAACCGTAATTCTACAGTAAAGAAACCTAGCAAACACTACCCTAAGTGATAGAAGTGAATATCATCATTAACTAGACAGACATCATGGGTCTCCTGATATAATGCATTAAGAAGAAAAAAATCATTTCAATGACATTCTTTCCAAAAATGAATATGCTGAACCTAATTATGAAGAAACATTACACAAACCCAAATAGCTGTCCTATACTGTTCAAAAACATGAATGTCATGAAAGACAATAAGTGAGGAACTCTTCCTGGTATAGAAGACTAGAGATATCACAACTAAACACATGACCCAGGATTTTCTTGTGCCACAATGGACATTTTTGGAACAACTGGAGATATTTCAATAAAGCCTGCATATTAGATAATAGTATTGTATAATTGTTAATTTCTTGATTTTTTTATAATTATTATGTGGTTACATAAGCGAATGTCTTTTGAGTTTGGGAAACAGACACTGAATAATTTAGGGATAAAAGAGCCTCATACTTAAAAGTTGCACTCAAACATTTCAGGAAATAATATGTGTAGCCTGGCACACACGTCTATAATCCCAGTACTTTAGAAGGCCAAGGCAGGAGGATCACTTAAGCCCAGGAGTTTGAGACCAGCCTGGGCAAAACAGGGAGACACTGTCTCTACAAAAAAAAAAAAAAAAATTAAAAACTAGCCAGGTGTGGTGGCGCACACCTATGGTTATCTACTTGGGAGGCTGAGGTAGGAGAATCGCTAAAGCCTAGGAGTTGAAGGCTGCAGTAGCCGTGACTTTACCACCGCTCTCCAGCCTGGGTTATACGGCAAGATCTCACCTGAAAAAAATAAAAATAATATATATAGAGAGGAAGAAACTGCAAAAGTGAGTGTGATAAATATTAATATTTGGAAATCTGGATAAAAGGTTTAAGGAAGTTCTTTACAGTAATGGCAATGTTAAGCCTGAAACAATAATTATTTTTTTTTTTTGAGACGGAGTCTCACTCTGTCACCAGGCTGGAGTGCAGTGGCGCGATCTCAGCTCACTGCAACCTCCGCTTCCCGGGTTCAAGTGATTCTCCTGCCTCAGTCACCGTGCCCAGCTAATTTCTGTATTTTTTAGTAGAGACAGGGTTTCACCATATTGGTCAGGATCTCCTCACATCGTGATCCACCCGCCTCGGCCTCCCAAAGTGCTGGGATTACAGGCATGAGCCACCGCACCCGGCCTAAGCCTGAAATAATTTTTTTTTTTTTTTTTTGAGACAGAGTCTCACTCTGTCCCCCAGGCTAGAGTGCAGTGGCGCAATCTTGGCTCACAGCAACCTCTGCCTCCCAGGTTCAAGTAATTCTCCTGCCTCAGCCTTCCAAATAGCTGGGACTACAGGCACGTGCCACCACACTTTGCTAATATTTGTATTTTTAGTAGAGACGGGATTTTGCCATGTTGGCCAGGCTGGTCTCAAACTCCTGACCTCAAGTGATCCTCCTGCCTCAGCCTCCTGAAGTGCTGGGATTACAAGCGTGAGCCACCACTCCTGGCCTAAGCCTGAAATTATATCAAAATAAAAAGTAGCAAAAATCAAATGATTTATGTATATGAAACTAATTTTTAAACTACAAAATGCTATGTGTGCACATTATTACTTTCAAACCGCTCATTAGACAAAACTCTGTATTTATTAAATTAATTGGTGAAATACCCACACAATCCTAGCATAGGCTAAGTTGCAAGTTTCAAGTGTTTGTTATTCTTAAACCACTGTCTGTACATCTTCTCCATCAAAACATGAAAAAAGGACAAAAATCATAATAAAACATTAGATCTACTATTTTGTTACCTAAGCAATAGATCCCCACTTTCTCTGTCAATAAGTACATATAAAAACCATAGTATCTAATACACAATTTCTTGCAAGCCAAGGCTTTGGGTGCTCTCTTGCTTTATTATTTTATTTTCCTGACTCACATCCTTTTATTTTCAGCCAGGTTACTTGTTCCTCTCTGTAATACATGAAAAGTATTCAAATTCCCAGTGAGGACAATCAGAAGTATTACTGTGTTTTACCCTATGCTACCCAATATAAATAGTTTTATTTAGTGTTTTTTTTTTTAATAAAAAAAGAAAGGGTCTCACTGTTTATTAATAGTTTTATTTAAATGTTTGTTTTCAGAGTTCTACAGTTCATTTACATAGGGACATATTTTCAATCTTTAATCAAAGTATTTGACATATTCTTTCTTTAGAACCTTCTTAAAAAGGAATAGTGATGAAAGATACAATGATTAGAAGAAAGGTAGAACAGCTGGTTCCTTGAAAAGAGATGATAACTAAAGCAAAGCTATATAGCAAGTCTGACTGAGAAAAACAAAAAATAAAAGAAAGCACTAATACATAAAATACCTCCAAAAAAAATCACAATGTTAAAACACCTGGAGCAAACAGGATTATTAGAAAGCAAAACCGACTGAATATTATCATGTTTATATATTACATTTAGATCATAGGGAAAAAAACCATAAACCCTATATGAAAATCAGTGTCTAATCATAATAAAAACTGTTCATCTAACAACAGAAAACAAAACAACAAAAACACTCTAGTTCACCAGTAACATTTTAAACTCAGGTTTCTAGGTAAGCTAGAAAATTATAATGAACATGTAATAATATTTAGAAAAGCAACATAGTAAAGTACCCTACTAAAGGGCCTCAGCACATTAAATGCATCTAGAAGATGCCCAAGTTCAAAACCAACGGAGGAGGCAGTGTTCAAATGCCTAAAACAAGACATATTTACATGGAGGAAGACTTGCATTTACATGGAAGATGTATTTACATGGAGGAAGACTTGCATTTACATGGAAGATGTATTTACATGGAGGAAGACTCCCATTCCCAAGAGCAACAGAAAAATTACTACACATATCTAGATTAAAAAAGTAAGAAAAGTTTAAAACGTACATAACTATAAAGTTTTATATCAAAAATGGATTAAATGCTGAGAATTATCACATTTCTGGATGGGAAGGCTGAATATTGTAAATCTGCACATTCTGCCCAACTAATCTGCAAATTTTACACAATTTTAATCAAATCTAAAGTTTGTTTTTGTTTTGTTGGGGTTGCAGGAGAAACATCACAGGCTGATGATATTTGATACACAGATTTTTTTAAGAGAAAAAACAAGGAACACTCAAAATATGCTGTTAGTTCTCATCATCAGAGAAGTGTTACATAAGCCAAAATGGACAAATCAGCGGAAAAGAAAAGGAAACCCAGAAGAAAATCCAATGTATATATGGTAACATAATACATGGTTTTTAAAATGGCATTTGCCCACCAGTGGGAAAAGGATAAACTTTATAAAAATGGTTTCTGAGACAATGACCTACTACTTGGGGAAAGGTTAAGTTATATTACTACTTTACACTACATCCCAAAATATAACCCCAGAAAAATTAAAGAAATATGTGAAAATAAAATTCCTAGAGAAAACGACATTATTTATAAGCAAGATAGAACAGGCCCTTTCTCAGCATTATACCAAAGCCCAAATCAACAATATCTGAAAAGCAAAAGATATCACAAGCAAAGTCAACACAAACTGAAATTATTTTTTCTCACTTTGAGATGATGACAGATGGTTCATATTATTGTGGAGGCAGCTTCTAGGATGGCCCTAAATGATACCTGCCTCCTGGTATTCACACCCTTGTTTAATCAACTCACCAATATTAGGTTAGAAAAACAACTGTGGTTTCTGTCTTGGGCTTACTGTTTTTCCAGTGGCTCCCTTGCCATGTAGGAAGCTAACTGGTAAGACCTCAGAAAGCCCAGTGAACAGGCCCATGTGGCAAGGGACCAAAGTCTGCCAACAATCACATAGTACACTTGGGGACAGATATTTCCTCCTTCAGACAAACCTTCAGATGAGACTGCAGCTCCAGCTGATGCCTGGATTCAGTCTGGTGAGAGGCCCTGGGCCAGAGGTTCCTAGCTAAGCCATGCCTGAATTTCCAACGCACAGAAGCACTGAGATAATAAAATCTTTGTTGCTCTACAAGATTACATTTTAAATGGGTTTTAACAAATGAGTAAGGAAGACACACACTCTAAAAGGGGTAAAAAGGGTCACAACATGTAAAATGGTGTTGTAAATTAAAATAATTTTTCAGGGCCAGGCATGATGATTCAGACCATAATCCCACCACTTTAGGAAGCCAAGAGGGAGAACCAGTTTAGGCCAGGAGCTCAAGACCAACCTGGGCCATGTAGTGAGATGCGTCTCTACAAAAAATTTAAAACAGAAAAGAAAGTAACAAAATATAAAAATAATTTTTCACCTACAGAACTGAAAAACATAAAAATACTCCTAATATCTAAAGGCTACACAGGAAATGGGCATTACTCATATTCAAATAACGTACATTTAAATGGATAAAATCTAACTGGAAGACAGCCTATATCAAGGTTTAAAGTGCTCTCCTATATCAAGGTTTAAAGTTTAAACCCTAGAATTCTACTTTTATAAACTGTATTCTGATAAAGCACATATATACAATGTTTGGCAGGGAAAAAAATTTTAATAGCTATCAATTGAACAATGGCTAATTAGGGTATATCCACACAATAAAATATAATGCAACCATTAGAGAATGAAATAAAACCAATCTCTCTTGAGAAGGAGAAAGAGGGTGTGGTTTAAATATTTTGATAGAAAGAGGTTATGACACTGTGAGAATCTGATACTATGATATAGAAAGAGGATGAATACTGTGAGAGAAAGAGAGAAGGGGTAGAGGGGCTTGATACAGCGAGGATAAAATGTGGTAAGGCACTGGAGAGTCTGTCTAGATTCGAATCCTTGCTCATCCATCCACTTGCCAACTGTGTGACCCTGACAAGTTAATTTAAAATTTCTTTGTACTTAGGTTTCCTTATCCAAATAATAACAATATCAATCACACAGTACTAATGGTAAGAATTATGTAAAACTGCTCATGTCAAAAAATACATATAGTAAGTATCTGCTATCATCATTAACTACCAATCCCAAAAAATGGAATGTGTGGGTATTTAGGAGACAAATATTTAAAAAATGGAGACCCTGTCATAAAAAATATGGAATTTCCTAGGTTATGGACAATATGGGCTCGAGGAATTTAGAATAGCAAGATCTCCATAGCTGACTTGAATCATCTGGGAAGTTTCATACAGGAAGAATTTGACCTGAGTTTTCATAAATGCACAGAATTTAGACAGCAGGAGAATGGGAGTGATAGAAGAGCTGAATAAAAGCAGAGTGGTCATAGAGAAGAACATATTTCAAGGAGAGTAACATAAAAAGTTTGGAAAGTTAAGTATCTGGAGAAAATGGAAGACTATGGAAGTTTCTGCGTACACAAGTAAACTAGGCAGGTTTTACTTTCTAGACTATGAAGAACCATAGAAGATTTATGGGCAAGAGAAACAACATGACCAATGAGAACTCTGGGATTATTCTAGTCTTAGTACACAGAAGAGATTAGAAAGGAGAAGACTAAGGTACACGTTTATAAGTGGTTAAGCCAAATAATGACAGGTTCTGACTAGAATAGTAGTGAAGAGAAAGAAAAAGAAGAGACACAGCCACAAGGCAGTATGAGGAAAAAAGAAAATCAAGTTAAACAATGACTGGATATTAGGGATGAGCAAATGGAACAGTCTGAATAACAGTGAATTATAAAACCATTAAAAAGAAAAGGCAAATCCAAAGTTCTGGGAACTAGCAGGAGAGATTTCCATTGAGTCTTAAAAGTTAAGTCATAGTTAGATAAGATGGCTTGACAATTTGAGATAACAGTACAATATTCAGATATCAAGATCCAGTGGGCATTTGACAACATGAGACTAGTACTTGGGGGAGAGGTGAGAACTGAAAACAAAAACAACTGAATTTTTAAAAATTCTTTAGAATGTTCCAGATATTTACAGCAGATGGACACTAGAATGTGGTATAACTAGTGTTATACCAGAACAGTGATCACTTCTTCTTGTTATATCCCTTCATGTTTACCATAGATCTTGGTACATTGGAGGCTCCCACTAAAATGTTGCAGAGGTTGGAAGAGTAGTAAAGGGAGCAACGCTGCATAGTGACAGAGGCTTAATTACACCCGGTGTCTTCTGACTCTCTCTGCTATACCACAACATAGAGATGACATCTGAGCTTCCATGCATAGGCTCCCCTAATGAGGTACAGAAAATGAAAATACATGACGAGAACTGAATTTTGGGATTGCTAGTGTCTAAAGGCAGAAGGACAAGAAAAAAAAGGGAAGATAGCAAAAAAAAAAAAAAAAAGTTACGAGAAAAATGGATAGTGTTGTAATATGGTTTGGATGTTTATCCCTTTCCAAACCTCATGTTGAAATGTAATCTCCTTTTTTTTTTTTTTTTTTTTTTTTGAGACAGAGTCTCACTCTGTCCCCCAAGCTGGAGTGCAGTGGCGCGATCTCGGCTCACTACAAGCTCTGCCTCCCGGGTTCACGCCATTCTCCTACTTCAGCCTCCCAAGTAGCTGGGACTACAAGCGCCCGCCACCATACCCGGCTAATTTTTTGTATTTTTAGTAGAGACGGGGTAGAGCCTGGTGGGAGGTATTGGATCAAGGGGGTCAACCACTCATGAATGGGGTTAGCACCATCCCCTTGTTGATGAGTGAGTTCCCACTCAGTTAGTTCACAGGAGATCTGGTTATTTAAGAGAGTCTGGGGACGGGCATGGTGGCTCACGCCTGTAATCCCAGCACTTTGGGAGGCTGAGACAGGCGACTTGCCTGAGCTCAGGAGATTGAGACTAGCTTGGACAACATGGCAAAACCCCGTTTCTACAAAATAGTAATAACAATAATAATAATAATAAAGTCTGGATCTCCCCCTTCATGCTCTCGCTCAGCTCTTGCCATGTGATGCACCTACTCGCCCTTCACCTTCTGCCCATGATTAGAAGTTTCCTGAGACAATTACTAGAAGCAGATGTCTGCACCACACTTCCTGTACAGTTTGCAGAATTGTGAGCCAATTAAACCTCTTTTCTTTATAAATTACTCAATATCAGGTATTCCTTTATAGAGATGCAAAAACAGACTAACACAAGTTGCAACATGGATTAAAAAAATTTTTTGAAAAAAGGAAGCATAGTCAAATACATAAAATGCTTATATGCTACAGGCAGTGTTCCTCTGGTCTACATCAACACAGTACAACGGTGAGGACAGGTCACTTTTTATAGTATAAATTAAGAAATTTTAACTTACCTTTCACAGGATTAAAAAATACATATATTACATATGTCATTTGTAATGACTACAAAAGTAATACTGCAATCTTCAGTGAATGTTATCTCTACAAAATACATGACTAGAAATAAAATCACTACAATGGTTGAGCTGAACAAAAATGCGCACAATAGAAGAAATTTGAAGCAAAAAGAAGCAACTAAAAAAATAATCATTTATGGTATATGTATTACGACAGCAACAAAATATATGAAATACTGGACATTTTACCTTAAATCTCTTGTCCTGCAATACTTTCTTGATGGCGACCAGTTCTCCTGAATCACAAAGTTTGGCTTGATATACCACACCAAATGATCCATTTCCAATCACTTTAGTGTCTGTATAGCTGACTTCTTGTGGCCTGTCTGGACCCTGCCCAGGAGTTGCCACCACTGTTGTCACCTTGCTGCCGTCCTTGTCTCCTAAAGGAAGAAAGGAAATTTTTTTTTCACGAGAACTGTAAGGAATTAAATAGAGAAAACTGCCAAAATATACAAGGTAAACTATATTCTTTATTTTTTATTTTATTTTTTTTTTTGAGATGGAGTCTCACTCTTGTCACCCAGGCTGTTGTGCAGTCACACAATCTCGGCTCACTGCAACCTCCGTCTGCCGGGTTCAATCAATTCTCCTGCCTCAGCCTCCCGAGTAGCTAGGATTACAGGCACCTGCCACCACGTCTGGCTAATTTTTGTATTTCTAGCAGAGACGCGGTTTCACCATGTTGGCCAGGCTGGTCTTGAACTCCTGACCTCAGGTGATCCGCCCTCCTTGGCCTCCAAAGTGCTGGGATTACAGGCATCAGCCACCACGCCTGGTCAAAGTAAACTATATTCTTTACTACAAATTATTTTTAGTTTATTACATGTAATTACTTCAATTACTTGTTTCAATTATAAGTCATTTTTTAAACTCCCATGTATTCAGTCATTCTATAGACCAGACACAATGCTTAGTTTCAACCCCATGAGGTAGACAGTACTGTTCCCATATTATAGGTAATAGGAAGAATGTTAAATTTGCCCATGGTCAAATAGCAAAAGGTGAACCCATAAGAGTCTGACCTTATCCATCCAATTCTAAAAGGCCTTAGGGCTTTCTTCAAGACCTTATTTTACTTGAAAATAAAATATGTGCAAATAAAAATGTTTAAAACTTCTCTCTTCAGATCCTTCTGCATTTAGGAAAGTAAGGCTTTGAGTGTTTGCTTCCCTGAATCTTCTTTTTAGCAAAGTAGAAGACCTCTCAGAGAAAGCTCAGGTGGAGAAAAGAATGTTAATTTGGGGTTAACAGATATAAAAATTTAAATAATCCAACCCATTCTGAACTGAGGCCCAATTATATAAGCATATCACTGGCTCCAGGGTCTCTATTCACTCACAGACCTCTTCTTTCCTTTTTTGCCTTCTCTCACCCCAGTAGCAATCCAACGGCTCTCTTCAATTCAGGCACAAGAGCCACCTCCTACTTCACTAGGGATAGTCCACAGTCACCATCTTGTTTTCTGAATTCTTAATCGATTCTGTGTATTATGCTACCTAGTATCTGATCTAAAAGAGCTTTACATTGTTCTTTTAGTGACTTCAACGTACACAAAAATGTCTACTGTTTCTTCTCTCTTCCCTGACAAATCTAAAACCAATTCTCAGTACAATATAAGTCCTTAGGCTCACTTATTGGACTTTTATTTTTTCCTGTTATTCTTCCATTACAATTTCCTTTCTAAAATACTAACTGAATTCCAATTAACCTAATAAAAGAAAAGTAATATAATATTTATGAGTATTTTTCTCTGTGAAATATAAATTGCTAGATAAATGAATATCCAAATGCACTAGTGGAATATTATAACCAATATTTATATCCATTTAAATTCACAGAAGTATTAATATACACAAAAGCCAGTGAATGTCTGTGACCAATTAACACTTTCATTTGTAAGATGGCATTCATGGTCGCTTCCAAGATGGCTGAATAGGAACAGTTCTGGTCTACAACTCCCAGGAAGATCTTTGCAGAACACAGGTGATTTCTGCATTTCCAACTTAGGTACCTGGTTCATCTCACTGGGACTGGTTGGACAGCAGGTGCAGCCCATGGAGGGCGAGCCGAAGCAGGGTGGGGCATTGCCTCACCTGGGAAGTGCAAAGGGTTGGGGGATTTCCCTTTCCTACCCAAGGGAAGGCATGAGTGGCTGTACCTGGAGGAGCGATACACTCCTGCCCAAATACTGCACTTTCCCAATGCTCTTCGCAACAGGCAGACCAGAAGATCCCCTCCCATGCCTGACTCGGCGGGTCCCACGCCCACACAGCCTTGTTCGCTGCCAGCACAGCAGTCTGAGATCAACCTAAGATGTGGGAGCTTGGTGGGGGGAGGGGCGTTTGCCATTGCTGAGGCTTGAGTAGGCAGTTCTATGCTCACAGTGTAAACAAAGCAGCAGGGAAGCTCAAACTCGGCAGAGACCACCACAGCTGAGCAAGGCCTACTGCCTCTCTAGATTCCACCTCTGGGGGCAGGGCATATCTGAACAAAAGGCAGCAGACAGCTTCTGCAGACTTAAACGTCCCTGCCTGACAGCTCTGAAGACAGCAATGGTTCTCCCAGCATGGCGTTTCAGCTCCCGATAAGGGACAGACTGTTATCCAAGTGGTTCCCTGACCCCTGTGTAGCCTGACTGGGAGATATCTCCCAGTAATGGCCAACAGACACCTCATACAGGTGGGTGCCCCTCTGGGACGAAGCATCCAGAGGAAGGATCAGGCAGCAATATCTGCTGTTCTGCAGCCTCCTCTGGTGATACCCAGGCAAACAGGGTCTGGAGTGGACCTCTAGCAAACTCCAATAGACCTGCAGCTAAGGTACCTGACTGTTAGAAGGAAAACTAACAAACAGAAAGGAACAGCATCAACATCAACACAAAGGACATCCACACCAAAACCCCATACGTAGGCCACCAACATCAAAGACCAAAGATAGATAAAACCACAAAGATGGGGAGAAACCACAGCAGAAAGGTTGAAAATTCCAAAAACCATAACGCCTCTTCTCCTCCAAAGAAACACAACTACTCGCCAGCAAGGGAACAAAACTGGATGCAGAATGAGTTTGACAAGATGACAGAAGTAGGCTTCAGAAGGTCAGTAATAACAAACTTCTCCAAGTTAAAGAAGTATGTTCTAACCCATTGCAAGGAAGCTAAAAACCTTGACAAAAGGTTAGACGAATGGCTAACTAGAATAAACAGTGTAGAGAAGAGCTTAAATGACCTGATGAAGCTGAAAACCAGAGTATGAGAACATGGTGAAGCATACACAAGCTTCAGTAGCTGATTCAATCAAGCAGAAGAAAGGATATCAGTGACTGAAGATCAAATTAATGAAATAAAGCGAGAAGACAAGATTAGAAAAAAAAGAGTGAAAAGAAATGAACAAAGCCTTCAAGAAATACGGCATTATGTGAAAAGACCAAATCTACGTTTGAATGGTGTACCTGAAAGTGATGGGGAGAATGGAATCAAGTTAGAAACCACTCTTAAGGATATTCACCAGGAGAACTTCCCCAACATAGCAAGGCAGGCCAACATTCAAATTCAGGAAATACAGAGACCACCACAAAGATACTCCTCAAGAAGAGCAACCCCAAGACACATAATTGTCAGATTCACCAAGGTTTAAATGAAGGAAAAAATGTTAAGGGCAGCCAGAGAAAGGTTGGGTTACCCACAAAGGGAAGGCCATCAGACTAACAGCAGATCTCTCGGCAGAAACTCTACAAGCCAGAAGAGAGTAGGGGGAAAATATTCAACATTCTTAAAGAAAAGAATTTTCAACCCAGAATTTCATATCCCGCCAAACTAAGCTTCATAAGTGAAGGAGAAATAAAATCCTTTACGGACAAGCAAATGCTGAGAGATTTTGTCACCACCAGGCCTGCCTTACAAGAGCTCCTGAAGGAAGCACTAAACATGGATAGCAACAACCGGTAGCAGCCATTGCAAAAACATGCCAAATTATAAAGACCATCGATGCTAAGAAGAAATTGCATCAATTAATGGGCAAAATAACCAGCTAGCATCATAATGACAGGATCAAATTCACATATAACAATATTAACCTTAAATGTAAATGGGCTAAATTCCCCAATTAAAAGACACAGGCTGGCAAACTGGATAAAGACTCAAGACCCATCAATGTGCTGTATTCAGGAGACCCATCTCACGTGCAAAGACACACATAGGCTCAAAATAAAGGGATGGAGAAAGATCTACCAAGCAAATGGAAAGCAAAAAAAAATCCTGGTCTCTGATAAAATAGACTTTAAACCAACGAAGATCAAAAGAGACAAAGAGGGCCATTACATAATGGTAAAGTGATCAATTCAACAAGAAGAGCTAACTATCCTAAAATATATGCACCCAATACAAGAGCACCCAGATTCATAAAGCAAGTCCTTGGAGACCTACAAAGAGACTGAGACTCCCACACAATAATAATGGGAGACTTTAACACCCCACTGTCAATATTAGACAGATCAAGGAGACAGAAAATTAACAAGGATACTCAGGACTTGAACTCAGCTTTGGACCAAGCGGACCTAATAGACACCTACAGAACTCTGCACCCCAAATAAACAGAATATACATTCTTCTCAGCACCACATCCCACTTATTCTAAAATTGACCACATAATTGGAAGTAAAGCACTCCTCAGCAAATGTAAAAGAACAGAAATCACAACAAACTGTCTCTCAGACCACAGTGCAATCAAATTAGAACTCAGCATTAAGAATCTCATTCAAAACCACACAACTGCATGGAAACTGAACAACCTGCTCCTGAATGACTACTTGGTAAATAACGAAATTAAGACAGAAAGAAATAAGTTATTTGAAACTAATGAGAACAAAGACACAACATACCAGAATCTCTGGAACACATTTAAAGCAGTGTTTAGAGGGAAACTTAGAGCACTAAATGCCCACAAGAGAAAGCAGGAGAGATCTAAATCAACATCCTAACATCACAATTAAAAGAACTAGACAAGCAAGAGCAAACAAATTCAAAACCTCGCAGAAGACAAGAAATAACTAAGATCAGAGCAGAAGTGAAAGAGATAGAGACAGAAAAAAAACCTTCAAAAAAAAAAATAAATGAATCCAGGAGCTGATTTTTTGAAAGATCAACAAAATAGACCATTAGCAACACTAATAAAGAAGAAACGAGAGAAGAATCAAATAGATGCAATAAAAAATGATAAAGGGGATCACCACTGATCCCACAGAAATACAAACTACTATCAGAGAATACTATAAACACCTCTACGCAAATAAACTAGAAAATCTACAAGAAATGGATAAATTCCTGGACACATACACCCTCCCAAGACTAAACCAGGAAGTCGAATCTCTGAATAGATCAATAACAGGTTCTGAAATTTAGGCAATAATTAATAGCCTACCAACCAAAAAAAGTCCAGGACCAGACAAATTCACAGCCGAATTCTACCAGAGGTACAAAGAGGAGCTGGTATCATTCCTTCTGAAACTGTTCCAATCAATAGAAAAAAGGGGAATCCTCCCTAACTCATTTTATGAGGCTAGCATCATCCTGATACCAAATGATATCTGGCAGAGACACAACAACAAAAAAAAAGAAATTTAGACCAATATCCCTGATGAACACTGATGCGAAAATCCTCAATGAAATACTGGCAAATCGAAACCAGCAGCACATCAAAAAGCTTATCCACCACGATCAAGTCGGCTTCATCCCTGGGATGACAGGCTGGTTCAACATATGCAAATCAATAAATGTAATCCATCACATAAACAGAACCAATGACAAAAACCACATGATTATCTCAATAGATGCAGAAAAGGCATTCAACAAAATTCAACAGCCTTTCATACTAAAAACTTTCAATAAACTTGGTATCGATGGAACGTATCTCAACATAACAAGAGCTATTTATGACAAACCAACAGCCAATATCATACTGAATGGGCAAAAGCTGGAAGCATTCCCTTTGAAAACCGGCACAAGACAAAGATGCCCTCTCTCATCCCTCCTAGTCAACATAGTATTGGAAGTTCTGGCCAGGGCAATCAGGCAAGAAAAAGCATAAAGCATATTCAAATAGGAGGAGAGGAAGTCAAATTGTCTCTGTTTGACGTCTCAGGCCAAACACTCCTTAAGCTGATAAGCAACTTCAGCAAAGTCTCAGGACACAAAATCAATGTGCAAAAATCACAAGCATTCTTATACACCAATAACAGACAAACAGCCAAATCATGAGTGAACTCCCATTCACAATGGCTACTAAGAGAATAAAATACCTAGGAATACAACTTACAAGGGATGTGAAGGACTTCTTCAAGGAGAACTACAAACCACTGCTCAAGGAAATAAAAGAGGACACAAACAAATGGAAAAACATTCCATGCTCATGCATAGGAAGAATCAATATCGTGAAAATGGCCTTACTGCCCAAAGTAATTTATAGCTACCACTGACTTTCTTCACAGAATTGGAAAAAACTACTTTAAATTTCATATGGAAACACAAAAGAGCCTGCATACCCAAGACAATCCTGGGCAAGAAGAACAAAGCTGGAGGCATCATGTAACCTGACTTCAAACTTTACTACAAGGCTACAGTAATCCAAACAGCATGGTACTGGTACCAAAACAGATATATAGACCAAAGGGATAGAACAGAGGCCTCAGAAATGCCACCACACATCTACCACCATCTGATCTCTGACAAATCTGACACGCACAGGCAATGGGGAAAAGATTCCCTATTTAATAAATGGTGCTGGAAAAACTGGCTAGCCATGTGCAGAAAACTAAACTGGACCCCTTCCTTACACCTTATAGAAAAATCAACTCAAGATGGATCAAAGACTTAAACGTTAAGACCTAGGTCCATAAAAATCCTAGAAGAAAACCTGGGCAATACCATTCAGGACATAGGCATGGGCAAAGACTTCATGTCTAAAACACCAAAAGCAATGGCAACAAAAGCCAAAATTGATAAATAGGATCTAATTAAACTAAAGAGCTTCTTCACAGCAAAAGAAACAGAATGGGAGAAAAATTTTTGCAATCTATCCATCTGACAAAGGGCTAATATAAAGAATCTACAAAGAACTTACACAAATTCACAAGAAAAAAGCAAACGACCCCATCAAAAAATGGGCAAAGGATATGAACAGACACGTCTCAAAAGAAGACATTTATGCAGCCAACAGACATATGAAAAAATGCTCATCGTCACTGGTTATTAGAGAAATGCAAATCAGAACCACAATGAGATACCATCTCATGCCAGTTAGAATAGCGATCATTAAAAAGTCAGGAAACAACAGATGCTGGAGAGGTTGTGGAAAAATAGGAACACTTTTACACTGTTGGTGGCAGTGTAAATTAGTTCAACCATTGTGAAAGACAGTGTAGCGATTCCTCAAGGATCTAGAACTAGAAATACCGTTTGACCCAGCCATCCCATTACTCAGCATATACCCAAAGGATTATAAATCATTCTACTATGAAACACATGCACACGTACATTTACTGCGGCACTATTCACAATAGCAAAGAGTTGGAACCAACCCAAATGTCCATCAGTGATAGACTGGATTAAGAAAATTTGGCACATATACATCATGGAATACTATGCCGCCATAAAAAAGGAGAGTTCATGTCCTTTGCAGGGACATGGATGAAGCTGGAAACCATCATTCCATCATTCTCAGCAAACTATCACAAGCTCAGAAAACCAAACACCGCATGTTCTCACTCATAAGTGGGAGTTGAACAATGAGAACACATGGACACAGGGAGGTGAACATCACACACCAGGGTCTGTGGGGGGTGGGGGGCTAGGGGAGACATAACATTAGGAGAAATACCTAATGTAGATGACGGGTTGATGGGTGCAGCAAACCACCATGGCACATGTATACCTATATAACAAAACTGCACGTTCTGTACATGTAACCCACAACTTAAAGTATAATAATAATTAAAAAAAAAGATGGCACTCATGACAGATTCAAAAGCAATGAGGGATTCCTTCATAAGATAGCCAGGTGAAATACAGGCAGTCTATATTTATCATGGCCAGCCATCTTGAATATTTATGTCTTTAGGTCCAAGGTAAAACACTCAAACTGGCATGATTTAATCACCCCAAATCCAAAACCACTTGTGAAAAGAAAGAACTCAAATCTTGTCAGCACCACCATTTTTATTTACAGCAGTATTATATATGCTTTAAATGCACACAAACCCCAGCATAAGCCAATATAAAAAAAGCAGTTTTCAAAGCTTTCAAACTCTCCCTTCAAGTCTCATCCCTCAGTAAAATAAACCTTAGGTATATTTGCTAAAAACCTAGTTTAATCTGAGTTCTAAATTATCATGCCCCACCCCCCAAAATTCTATGCTAATCTTAACTACAACTTTTCAAGCTGACTATAAACCTTATCATAAGTTATTCTCTCCCTCATTTGTAAAATAACTTTTCTTTACCTGTATCTTAGCAGTCCTAAAAACAGAATCACAGTCTTCTGAACTTAAACTCTAAATGAAGAGATCCAGAAAGGTTAAAATCCAAGGTATTGAATGCATTCTTACAATCCAATTGTCTCAAGAGAACATAAAAAGCATACGTTATTTCAAACATAGTCTGACTCTTCCCTATGTTATCCAAGTCAAAACTGTAACACCAAAAAAAGATTTCGAGGACTCTGAATTAAAAATTCCACTGAACAAGTTGCTTGCAAAATCTCACATCTAACTCACAAAACAAAGGATCATTAATAAACTAATATAGATTTTAAGAACAGTAGCTGAGTGTGGTGGCACATGCCTGTAAGTGAGCCAAGACTGCGCCACTGCATTTTGGCCTGGGTGACAAAGGGAGACCCTGTCTCTAAATAAATAAATAAATAAATAAATAAATGGCCAGGCATGGTAGTTCACACCTGTAATCCCAGCACTTTGGGAGGCCAAGGTGGGCGGATCACTCAAGGCCAGCAGTTCAAGACCAGCCTGGCCAAGATGGCAAAACATTGTCTCTACTAAAAATACAAAAATTAGCCAAACACAGTGATGCACACATGTAATCCCAGCTACAAGGGAGGCTGAGGCACAAGAATCCCTTGAACCCAGGAGGCGGGAGGCTGCAGTGAGCTGAGATCATGCCACTGTACTCCAGCCTGGGCAACACAGCAAGACCATTTCCAATAACAGCAACACAAAAAGCCTACTGTACTCCACAATTTTAATTAACTGAAAAACGGAAAACAAAAACTGTCTGGGGTCCAACCAAAAATTATGTTTTTCTACTGCATAACCATATTTCAATAAAGGAAACAGGAGCCCCACCTTTGTATTTTCCTTGCTCTAGTAAGAGAACTTAAGCAATATAAGCATTTGTGATGACGTTCCCTATTTGCCTCCACAGGTTCTACTTCTTTTTAAAAAAGGTAACATTTCAAGGGTTTGAAAACTAGCTATGATAGATATCCATTAGAACCCTGGGATTTAGCATCTCTTCACTCCAGCCACTGAGCCTAGGAATGTCTATCCCAGCATCATAATTTGCAAATGGGAAAAAGCATCAAATAAGACAATTCTGCTAAAGTATTAAAAGCAGAGTGGAAAGGTAAAACAGGTCCTACAGATACTATAGCTGAAAGAGACTCTTAAGGCCTCTTAATTTTAAGCTGAGATTTGATGTAGACAAGGACCAATTCTTTCACACTTTTGCACATCTAGAGACAAGGTACTTACTACCTTAGCAGTAATTAAAAGATAAATAGCAGAGCTGAAAAGAATGGCAGGGCAATATGGGGGATGACTTGGCATGAACATTAGTAGTGCCATGGGTCGGTCAGCAACTAGCGTGCCAAGGAAAAGCGCATTACCATTTGGCATTGGAATTAGCCAACTTGGCAATAAGATAACAACTGTATAAAATTGTACTGTTTACAAAGAACAATCCCATTCATTGTTTCATCTACATTAATACCTATAATAGATTAATTTATCATAAAGCTTTAGGTAGCAGAACTCATCGCATGCCTCGTGCTGCCTCTGCTGTATTTTAAAACCTTCCCACTACCACTAACTTCATATTCTTTTCTCCATTTCCCCTTAAAAAAAGAAGATAATGTTTCCAATAACATAATGTAAAAGGATCAGCTCCAGAGTAATAGGAAGTAAGAGAATAAATCAACAGGCTTTTATAGTTTTCTGGCCTCAACCATGTACTCCTTAATATCAACATCTATTCCCAGAGACACTTTGGCAACATTAGGTTTTGAAATTTATACCAAAGCAAAACCATATCAAAAATAAAACTGTACAACAGTTGATTCTGTGACATCCAAACAACTTAATATTTGCTACAACAAATTGGGCTATTTCAGACCATAGCACTGCTTCCAAGAGACCAAAATCCTCAAGAAAAACTAGAAACTGTAACAAATCTGCTTAAACAAAAAATAACCACTTTGCCCAGTACTAAATTTCCTAGCATACATGAAACAGTAATTTCCAAACTAATTATATGGCACTAGCGATTATAATAAAATTGGTCTTCGAAACCGCCTTGAAGGTACAACAGCACAGCAGCAGGAACTAGTTCAGCTTCAGGCCCTCTCTCCCGTCAGAGGACTTCACTCACATTGTACAAATTCCCTACATAATTAAAACACAGCATTAAATCCCTACTCTTTACCATAATAGATAAATCTTAAATACATAAACCAGAATAGACCCCTCATGACGCAATGAAAAGACGGTATACAACAGAACAATCACTTTCTATTGAAGGCTGTTAAATACAGAATAATTTTTTTCTTTTTTAAGAGACAGGGTCGTCCAGGTTAGAGTGCAATGACGTGATCATAGCTCACTCACTGTAACACTGAACTCCTGGGCTCAAGCAATCCTCCTGCCTCAGCTTCCCAAGTAGTTAACACTAGAGGCACAAACCACCATGCCTCACTAATATTTTTTATTTTTTTATTTTTTGGAGAGACAGGGTCTCACTTTGTTGCCCAGGTTGGTCTCTAACTCCTGGCCTTAAGTCTAAAATCATCCTACCTCAGCCTCCCCAAAGTGCTGGGATTACAGGTGTGAACCACTGTATCCAGTCTAGAATACAATTTTTACAAAAGCCTTGGCGGTTTAGGCATATCCCAAAATAATACACACAGCCTAGTTCTCAATCTCCTAAAAACAGGATTGTACCTGTAAACAACATTTTGTAGTCATATTTTTTGAAGTCTTCTCAAGTCACTCCTCAGACCAATCCACTCCACGATGAATACGGTGACATGGACCCATCCAAGGTATGGAGGGAGTATCCAAAAGCCAAAAGTCCACTTCAAGGATGTTTAAATATTTCGTAGGTAGGTGTCTGGCACTGACACTCTAATTTTATTCAAATGATAAATCTCAAAGCTGAACATACTTTGTTCATTTAACAAAGGCATTTAATTTGATGTTTCTTGTTTTAAGGAGACTAGTTCTTAAAATCCAGTGCTGAGAAAAAGCAACAACTGAGACACTTTGTAACTGAGGTGCTTTTAGAGAATATGAATAAGGTGTACTACAAACTGAGAAAAGTCATGCCACAGTCTAATAAATACTCTGGTGACCTTGCTGTGGAGAGTTAAGTCTGCAATGACTGCCTCTATAAAAATTTTCCTTCACCTCAAGAATGAAGTCTCCACGTAGAAATAACAGAAAATTAAAAGTCTGCAACAAAAGCCTAGAGAAATCAGCACACCGCCCATGAATACACAGAAGATACAAAGCATTTTCATGACATTTTCTGTCTAACAATAGTATTAGCAGAGGGAAAGGCACTGCCAATTATTTCTCTATCATGTAGAGAAATAACACACAGCTATTTTTAAAGGATGTTTACATAAGACTGTCAGAAGAGGAAACTCTGGCCACTGTAAATTTTTCAGGTTAAGTTGAAGTTCAACTCTTTATCCAAAGAAACCACGTTTAAAAAAAAAAAAAAAACTATTAAAACAAAGATGTTGGCCGGGCGCAGTGGCTCAAGCCTATAATTCCAGCACTTTGGGAGGCCAAGGTGAGTGGATCACCTGAGGTCAGGAGTTCGAGACCAGCCTGGCCAACATGGCGAAACCCCGTCTCTACTAAAAGTACAAAAAGCTACTTGGAAGGCTGAGGCAAGAGAATTGCTTGAACCCGGGAGGCGGAGGTTGCAGTGAGCCAAGATCATGCCACTGCACTCCAGCCTGGGAGACAGAGTGAGACTCTGTCAAAAAAAAAAAAAAAAAGCAAAAACAAAACAAACAACAACAACAACAAAGATGTTGGGCTAGACACAGTGGCTCACATCTGCAATCCCAGCACTTTGGGAGGCCATGGCAGGCACCATAGTGAAACTTTGTCTCTATTTATTTTTAAATAAAATAAATTTAATTTTAAAAAGCAAAGATGTTCTCCCCAAAATAAACAAACTGCTAGAAACAAGAAAACAACATAAAAATTAATTAGCAAAGGGAATAAAAAGTAGAAAACTGAGCCCCATGGGATCAGAGTTAGAAAATTCAAAAATGAACTTATTCTTGTGATTAAAATAGGGGCTTTATTTATGATGCGGAAGCTCTAGCCAGAGTGCACAACTGCTTATATATGTTGGAACAAATGAAACTATGAAGAAAGAAAGGAAATATCAACCAAGCAGTTGAATCAATCAAATCAACCCTAATGATCAACAGCAGGATAAAAATTCCAGGGCAATTTCTATGTAAACTTCATGTGATAAAAATCTTTCTAACAAGGTCTTTTCCCTTAGATACCATTCATCTTCACATGATTCTAACCTAAGAGATTAGAAAAAACAAAAAAAACAATTACTAAATTTCCTTTGGGGATAGGAAGAGTAAATAAAAGGAGAGGCAGAGAAAACAAAATGGACAGATGTCACATAGGCTGGCTTCCGGAGATGTTTACTTGTTTATCACTTTTAGAAATGAAAAGGAAAACATAGGGTGGCAGAGGACAAGAGATGACAGAAAGACTCCAGAGTTCTTTTCAATCACAGGAAGACATCATGCTACTGAAATTAACAGATATCAATTCTGAAGAATCATAACATCCCCTTCTTTAAAAAGAAAAAAATCAAATTTTGTCCTTAGAGGCCTAATGAAAAGAATATGGGCTTTGAAGTCATACAAAGGTTTATATCACAAGTTCAACCTACTTAATATCTATAAAATGGAAATAGCTGCTACTTAGGGTTGTGACACTTGAATAGCACAGGTTACACAGTTGTTGTTTTTTAAATGCATGCCACTTAGTGGGTGCTCAATAAATTACAGTTTCTTTGAACTTCAAATTATTAGCAGTGGAAATAGGAAAGAATATATTATTCTGCTCCACTATGCTCTTTTACCACTCACATGTGCCCTATCACGGTACTTATCACAATGCCCTATAATTAAAAGTCTGAACCCCTTACTTCACTAAGAGCTCTTAGAAAAACTAGACATTGGCCAGGCGCAGTGGCTCACGCCTGTAATCCCAGCACTCTGGGAGGCCGAGGCGGGTGGATCATGAGGTCAGGAGTTCGAGACCAGCCTGGCCAACATGGTGAAACCCCATCTCTACCAAAGATACAAAAAATTAACTGGGCATGGTGGCGCACGCCTGTAATCCCAGCTACTCGGGAGGCTGAGGCAAGAGAATCGCTTGAACCCAGGAGGTGGAGGTTGCAATAAGCCAAGATCACGCCATTGCACTCCAGCCTGGGAGACAGGGTGAGACTCTGTCTCAAAAAAAAAAAAAAAAAAAAAAAAAAAAAACTAGACATTATTGGAATCATTTACATTTCCCATGTGCACTAGGTTCAGCACAATGCAAATGCTCAGCAAAGGTTTGCCACAGACTTTGTAAGAATTATTCAAGCAGAATTGTTAGGATTTGAGAACTGACTAATTCATGTTAAACCTAAGTAGTGCTTTTGTGTCTTCCTATGCTTGCCATTGGTCAGATATAAATTCCTGGGGAGAAGATATATAGAAAAGCCTTACAAGTAGTAAAACAGAATGGAGGGCTTACTGAAAACATGGTGACAACAAGCAGCCAAAACAAATGACTCAATGTCCCACATGTGTATTTAGGTATGGGTGGGAAATTTACTCTGTTCCTAACCCTTTTCCAAATAATTCTGGTTTCTTTAGAGCATCAATATGCAGCAATTGGCAAAAACTGGACAGGAGACAAAACTGAGATCTTAAGTTCAATTTATGTAAGCATATTCCTTGAGAACTGTTTACAGTTTGCAAGCACCACTCACAGTGGGCATAAGAATCACCTGGGAGTTTACTAAAATGAAGACCCTAGAATATATCCCCCAAAAGGTCAGTAGCTCTGAAGTGGGGCTCCAGAAACTGTATTTTTAATAAGCACCTCAAATGCTTCTTAATGCAGGTCCAGCTACCACACTTGAAGAGCCACAATATACCATTTAATTCCTACAAAAAGCCTGTGACATACTCAGAACACTCATTTTAACAAATGGGAAAATTTACGGTGTTCAAAAAGATTTGATAATTTGCTCAAAGTAATCCCTTCAACAACTCATATCCACAGGATTCAGACCTGTCCATTTACTGAAAAACTCGTGTCCTACTACATTACTTTGCTAAGGACCATGTCATAAATATAAGAGATGGGTATTTAGGCCCTGAAACCAACTTTTTGTGTTCAGCAAAACCTAAAACTCCAAATATCTTACAAAAGGTGCTGAGGCCAATATCTATTAGCCACTCCAATTTTTTCTTTGAAATATCCATACTTCTTCTGAGCCAATTTTAATTGACTCAATTTTTTATCTTCTTGGTTTTACCTCAAAACCAAATTTTACTTTAAACCAAACAATAAACCTAAAATCAGAAACATGCTAATTTTCAACAGTCTGAACTTAAATATTATTTTACTTGTAAGCCATAAACTGGAATCAAGTGTATTTTCCTTTTCTCTAACTTCACTGAACTGGAATAAAATCAAACCAAACCCAAAGTGAATAAATATTTCACTTGGTCTTAACTCCTCACTTGAAATAATTTCAAGACGTAATTTAGAAACAGGTTTATTTTCCATACACGTCTAAAAGGCTTACAGCATGTGCATAAAAATCTTTGGCTTTTAGGAATTTACATTAGAATTTTTAACTCTTAAAAACACGCTTATCCGTTTGATTTACAAGCTGCCCAATTTGGAGGGCAAGGGTAGACACTATATTTAAATTTTTCTTAAGAAGGAAGGTTACCAGATTATCAAAGAATTAGTACGCTATACATGGATGAAAAGAGAAAATGGTAAGTACTTAAACTAAAGAAGTAAATAATTACTTTTAAAAATACAATTACTCACTCACTGATCCAGTCAGTGGTCACATTCTAGAAACATCAACCTTGAGCAGCCAGAAGAAAGCCAGAAAATAGATCTCAAAAAGCTGGTATATTTTACTGTAATCTTTAGTGACAGTAATACCAGATCAGTGCTCTAAATATATTTTTTAAATCAATTAGGTCTGTTCTTGGCCTACTAGACATCCCTTTGGTCCTCAATATTGCATTCTGACAACCCAAATGCCCCCAATATAACAGCTTATCCAACCCTGCCCTCACCTGAAATATGCAGATATCTGCACTCCTTAATCCAAACTGCTTTTTCCATAGCACAGCATACAAATTTACACACATTTTTAATCACTTTAAAGTGGAGGTTATTAAATCAAAAATTGCTGTTGAATTAAAACAGTAGGGAGGGGAGGAGAGAGGACAGGATTTGCTTTCTCCCAGAAGACTACTGCTTACTCTAAGTCAGTCCTACATACTTTATCAATTACGATTTAACAACTAATACCCAATCCATGAGGGCAACACTTACAGTTATCACACACTGGGGGCGTCCCATTTTATGACTATGCAGATAGCAGTCTGAAAAAATATTTGTTCATTTATAAGTGACAAATTTCTACAGGCTTCTACTATACTTTGGAAACTAAAGTCTGAAAGTCACCAAAATAAATACCTCTACTTCCTCCTCAGAGATGACCTCGGACCCTGCAATCACCCTCTTAAAAGAGTGAAGTCAATTCAACAGATTGAGAAGATAATGCAGTTAAAATTCATATATTTGACAGTTTTCCCTAGGACCAATCATGATCACCAAACCATCATCACTCATCATCACAAATAAATTTGTGAAGCACTTTACAGTTTAAAAGCACAGTTAGACCCATTATCTCATTTGATCCAAGCAACAGTCCTACAAAGGAGGAAGAACCAGTACTAAATCAGGGAGAAGGGAACTGAGACTCAAAAAATAAGTAAAATTGCTCAAGGTTATATACAGGTAACCCCTGAACAATATGGGTTTGAACTGCGCAGGTCCACTTATACACAGATTAAAAGTACAGTATTCACAGGGTGTAAAACCCACATATACAGAGGGCCAACTTTCTACATACGGTGGTTCCATAGGGCCAACTTTCCACATACGGTGGTTCCATAGGGCCAACTGCAGGACTTGAATATGCAAAGATTTTGATGTGCCCAGTGGTCCTGGAACCAATGCCCCATGTATAACAGCAATGACTCTATAGTATTAAAAACTAGAGTATAACACTACAGTTTAGACTGTGTAGTATTAAAAACTATACTATAGTCTTATAGTACTCATCCAAATTGCCTCATCCAATTCCTAAGTTTAGTATACTTTCCATTACTTATAAAAGTGAAAGTGAATTGAATAATTTACATTCTAAAATAAATCCATAAAAATAACTCGGTCCAATATAACCACACATTTTGAGTAAGAGTCTTTACATCTTCTAATATAAACTGCAAAAATACCTTTAAATATAAAACTGTGTCATTTTGCTGATATACAAAGCTACCTGAGAGACAAATCATCTAAAACGAGTAAAAAGAGAGCCAGAAATTCCCGAGGCAAATCACATCAGTGAACAGATAGCAAACATTTAAACACTTCAACAGATTTATCACAATACTAAGTAATAATACATAGCCTAACAACAGGTGCTACTTTTGTAGGAATAGAAGGAACATTTCCTGATTTTCTTTTTGGACTGCTTTCTTCTAAATATGAAACATTTTGGAAATTGAAAAAGGAAGCATGGTTTTTCTAATCAATAAACAAACAAAAAAAAGGAATGTAAAAACCAAATCTCTCTCATCACATAATAGTTTTAGGCATCTGTTGAATTAGCTAAAGTACAATATTTTACTTTTACTTTTCATACATTCAAAAAATATATTTTCTTAATAATAGTTTAATACATCAAAAAACACTCCAAATGTATATCAAGCTATTTAAATATTTTTGGTGAGCTGATGTACCATGTTATGAAAAAAAAAATACTGAAACAGTTCATATAAAAATACCATAGTAGCATTCTACTCCCCATTCCCAGTTCTAAATAGCTTCCAAAGATATCCAAAACCACTTACTGACCAGCATAAGGATTGCTAACCCAAAACACTTTATCAACACCTTTGCTCTCCTCCATCAGGAATCATTTGCATGTTATACTCTACCCCTATTCCCTTAAACCTGCATTATTTGTGTGTCAATGAAATCTATCTCAAACAATTTCTTTTTCAAACACACATCCTAGGTTACTCTGTCTTCCATTGTTCTTTCCTATCTTTTTTACCTGAGGAAACAATTTCTTTTCTACCATTTTCATTCCACTCAGAACCTAAAATACAATCTTAACCATAGCCGGTAAGCAAAAAGATAGCATTTCTGCTGTATACCAATATCAAAACAAAGAAATGCCAGCAACCTATAAAGTACCTGAAAGGACACAGAAAGGCCTGCCAGACTCCCGCAAGTCTCTACGCCTGACCTCCCTCTGATTAAATCCCTGTATCAATCACACATAGAAGAAAATTTTTCAAAACTAATTCTTAACAGTGTTCTGGTGTTAACTACTATTCTTGCCATATTATTTTCTATTATGTGTCACTGTAAATATGTAGATATTTGAGCTAACTATGGCTTCACTAGGCTTTTGTAGGATAGCCTGGGAACCTATTCGCATTTACATATTTACTAAACTTACTATGAAAAAATACTTTCTAAGTTCCAAAATAGTTTATGAACTTTTAGAATGCAATCTGTTTATCAGCTAAAGCTTTTCTGTATAACAAAATAGGAGGAGGAGATATGCCTAAAATATTACAATTTTAACTGTTGCGAAGATAGAGTACCTCCAAACAACTTTATAAGAACCTCTTAAAATTAACTATGGAAAATAAAATAGCAGGTAATAACTACGAGTTTTGTCATTAATTCCATTTCTGCAAGGGACACCATACATTTTCAAATACTGATTAAATTCTAGTTTACAACTTCATTAGTAATGATGCTGTTTATAGTTAATATAATAAGGAACATGCCTAAGAGAAAAATATATAGGCATACCTCATTTTATTGCACTTTGCAGAAATTATGTTTTTTTACAAATTGAAGGTTTATAGTAACCCCATGTTAACCAAGTCTATCAGTGTCACTTTTCCAACAGCATATGCTCACTTTATGTCTCTGTGTCACATTTTGGTAATTTTTGCAGTACTTCAAACTTTTCACTATTATTATACCCATTATGGTGATCTGTGATCAATGAAGGCAAACTTAATAGATTAATATTGTGTATGCCCTGACTGCTCCACCAATCAGTTGTTTCCTCATCTCCCTCCCTCTCCTCAGCCTCCTTATTCCAGACACAACGATATTGAAATTAGGCCAATTAATAAGCCTACAGTGGCCTCTAAGTGTTCAAGTGAGAGAAGAGTCACCTATCTCTCACTTTAAATCAAAAGCTAGAAGTAATTAAGCTTAGTGAGGAAAATATGTCAAAAGCCCAGATAGGCTGAAAGCTATGCTTCTTGTGCCAAACAGCCAAGTTATGAATACAAAGGAAAAGTTCTTGAAGGAAATTAAAAGTGCTACTCCAGTAAACAGATGAATGACAAGAAAGTAAAACAGCCTTATTGCTGATACGGAGAAAGTCTGAGTGGTCTGGATAGAAGACCAAACCAACCACAACATTTCCTTAAGCCAAAGCCTAAACCAGAGCAAGGCCGGAACCCTCTTCAATTCTCTGAAGGCCGACAGAAGCCTTCAAGGAAGGCTGCCAAGTTTGAAGCTAGCAGAGGAAAGATGCCCTCTCCATACCATAAAAGTACAAGGTAAAGCAGTAAGTGCTGATTTAGAAGCTGTAGCAAGTTATCCAGAAGATTTAGCTAAGACCACTGATGAAGATAACTACACTAAACAACTTCTAGATGCCATTAAGAATATTCATGATTCAGCGGGTGCGGTGGCTCATGCCTGTAATCCCAGCACTTTGGGAGGCCGAGGCAGGTGGATCACGAGATCAGGAGTTCAAGACCAGCCTGGCCAAGATGGTGAAACCCCGTCTCTACTAAAAATACAAAAAAAAAAAAAAAAATTAGCCGGGCATGGTGGCGGGCACCTGTAATCCCAGCTACTCGGGAGGCTGAGGCAGGAGAATCACTTGAACTCGGAGGGCAGAGGTTGCAGTGAGCCGAGATTGCGCCACGGCACTCCAGCCTGGGCAACAGAGTGAGACTCCATCTCCAAAAAAAAAAAAAGAATATTCATGATTCATAGGAACAGGAACAGGAGTTTGGAAGATGATACCAATCCTGGATGATTCTGAGGAGTTCAAAACTTCAGTGGAGGAAGTCACTGCAGATGTGGTAGAAATAGAAAGAGAACCAGAATTAGAAACAGAGCCTGAAGATGTGACTGAACTGCTGCAATCTTGTGATCAAACTTGAACAGATGAGGAGCTGCTTCTTATGAATGAGCAAAGAAAGTGATTTCTTGAGATGGAATGTACTCCTGGTGAATATGCTGTGACTACTGCAGAAATGAGAACAAAGGATTTAGGATATAATCTCAGCTGATAAAGCAGCAGCAGGGTTTGAGAGGACTGATTCCAATTTTGAAAGTTCTACTATGGGTAAAATGCTATAATGCCTGGGGTGCTGGCTACTGTAGTCCCAGCTAATCAGGAGGCAGAAGTAAGATGATCACTTGAGTCTAAGAGTTTGAGTCCTGCCTGGACAACACAGTGAGACACCCATCTCTATTAAAAACTAAAAACAAATATAACGCTATCAAACAGCATCTCATGCAACAGAGAAATCTTCCGTGAAAGGAAGAGTCAATTAATCCAGCAAACTTCATGGTTGTCTCCTTTTAAACAATTGGCACAGCCACCCTAGCCTTCAGCAACCACCACCCTAATCAGTCAATAGCCATCAACACTGAGCAGCAAAAAGATGACTATTCGCTGAAGGCTCAGATTATTAGCATTTTTAAACAATAAAGGATGTTTTAACTAAGGCTGTTTAGACATAATGCTACTGCACTTTATAAACTACAGTATAGTGCAAACGTAACTTTTATATGCACTAAGAAACCAAAAAAATTGTGTGATGTGCTTTACTGTGGTGGTCTGGAACCAAACCCACAATATTGTCAAGGTATGCACATATTAAATAACATTGTCCTAACTGATTACAGTTACTTATAATCAAATCCATATTGGTTTTTGTATTTGCCTTATCTTCCTCCCTCTAAAAACTTGCTTAACACCTCCCAATCCTCTCCCCACAAAAGAGAGAGAGAGAGGAAAAGAAAGAAATGAAAGAAAAAAAGACCGGCCTTTAGAGAACCTGGCAATGCCATTCAAATAGGGCAAGTCCAAGTCCACCTCTTCAAGGCGGAAGAGTACTGTCAGATTAAGTGGGTCAATTCACAAAGCAGTCCACTTAGCATTTCTTTCTCCCCACAAAGCTCTACTAGAAGAGATGCTAACTGGCTCTATTAAATAAAAGACACTGGAATAATCCTGCACTCACAGTGGGTCTACAACTGGGACTTGGTTCCTTTATCACTGCCTGAGAAATAAAATGAGACTAATCCTCTTATTGGTGGGTCATGGAAGAATGTCTTAGGACATCCGATGCCAAAGCAGAGTGTCTCCCACAGTGCTTACTCATTATTCGCAGTGTCAAAAGTAGATAAGGACATTAAAGTAGGAAACAATTTCCCTTGAAACAGAACTTTCATCCTTGGGAAATATGTACATGCCTAACTCTGCCCTTTTTTAAATGGTCTTTGTCATCTCCTACTGTTAACTACCTGACTTAATGATATACCAGGATAGGACTAGCCCAAGTCTGCTAGCTGTGACTGCTGGTGAATTTCTTTTTTATACCATACCTCTACAACCTGCAGAAGCATTGAACACATACTCATTTAAAAAAAAAAAAAATCAGTGGAAACTTTAAAAGGGTTTGATGTGAATATATGCAAATAATAAGACAAAGGTTCCACTGAAGACTTTCCTGAGCTGGGTCCCTCCAAGGTTATGTCCAACACTGCCCCTAAATTCCATGTACTTTCATGCATCCTAGATGAAATTGTAATAAAAGTTAACTACAAAACAAAAATTTGTAGAGTCATCCTTTTTTCTCACCAATTTCCATTATAAAAACTGAAACTAAATACCCATGTGAAGAGTCCCACAGAATATAAGGTTTTAATACTTAATATGGTAAACACAGTGCTAGCAATAACTTTATAGATCAATAATATCAACAAAAAGCCATCTGACCTATTACTCTTAAGGTGTTACTTAAATTTCATGATGCCCCTTAAATTTAATCAAGAAGAAAAATACCATTTCCCTTATCTTAAGACCCTCATACACACACCCTCGTCACAAACCTTTGTCCTAGGTATCTCCAATATCCACTAAAGAGTAAAGCAAACACTAAGGGAGAAGAGAACAGTGTACCTGACAATCTAGGTACCATGAAAAGATGAAGAAATGGTCAATCTCAGAGGTCAAGAGCAGCCAATTTCATTAAGATCTCCATCAAAGCAGATGATGCAGCACCTTCCTGAAACAAATTGTGACCCGCGTAGGCAATATGCCCCATTATTTACAAATGAGCTTGAAAAACTGAACTGATGAATCCAAATTTAAAACAGAATATATCAGTTTTATTCAACTTTTCAGGTAGGGTAAATGTTCCAAATATTCTAACCAACAACATAAATGGACTCCAAAAATTAAGCTGGCACTTAACAGTCTTAGGTTTTAATGGCTCACACCTATAATCCCAGCACTTTGGGAGGCCAAGTGAGAGGACTGCTGTTTGAGCCCAGGAGTTCAAGACCAGCCTGGGCAATATAGTGAGATACTGTCTCTACAAAAAAAATTTTTTTTTAATTAGCCAGGCACGGTGGCACACACCAGTGGTCCCAGCTACTTGGAAGGCTGAGGTGGGAGAACTGCTTGAGCCCAGGAGGTCAAGGCCACAGTGAGCCATGTATGCTCTCCACTACTGGAGCCACTACTGTACTCCAGCCTGGGCAACACAGCAAGACCCTGTCTCAAAAAAAACAATTCCAGATTCATGGTATTTCTGGGAGAGTATAATAGACATTCTTTGACATTCTTTATGGTACCTGTCCAGTCTACACACATACAGCCTAGTTAACTACTAATTTTCTATTTTTTCAGCTTACATTTTCATTGCTACATTAATAGTTAACATACGTACACATATCTCTCTTCTCTGAAAACCTCCTTCCCCTCCCACTGGGTAAAGTGCCTGAATATGTTCATCTAAGTATTTATCAAAACAACAACAAACTCCCTACCTCATGAGAAAAGCAGATACTATTTATACAAATAACTGCTGCATTAGATAATAACTGAAGTAAGAGGTACAAAAGAGAATGGTGGGGTACAATTAAGTCCATAATGGAGTATCTAGAATCCAATCAGGGTAGGTCCCTCCGAAAAAGTGGTATTTCAGCTGAAATTCTGAAATGTGTGAGAGGGTAGGGGGAGGAGGGAAGCAATGGAGTGGGAAGCGATAACATTAATGGCAGAAGGCATGTAAAAAGAAAGATCTTGAAGGAGTTTAACAAACTGAAAATAAGTGGACAGTCACAGAAGACTGCACATTGTATGATCCTGTTCACATGAAACGTTCAGAATAAGCAAATCTATAGAAAGAAGATAGACTCACTAATCTACCTGGTTATCTAAAGCAGGCAGTGTGTGTCAGGAGATGGGGAGTGACTGCTAATGGATAGTAAGATTCTTCTGGGGGCCAGGTGTGGTGGCTCATGTCTGTAATCCCAGTACTTTGGGAGACGGAGGCGGGCAGATCACTTGACACCAGTAGTTTGAGACCAGCCTGGCCATCTCTACTAAAAATATAAAAATTTAGCTGGGCATGGTGGTGGGTGCCTGTAACCCCAGCTACTTGGGAGGTTGAGGCATGAGAATCACTTGAACTCAGGAGGCGGAAGTTGCAATGAGCCTGGGTGACAGATATCTTCTGGAGGGCTGTTTTTTAGCCTACAACAGTTCTCAGTTTGTTCTTAGCAGAACAAAACATCAGAGATCTAATAAACTAGAAACAGCAAAGAACAGAAAAAAACACAGTGAAAAATTAATGGCAGGGAAGAAAGGAAATCATAATAGTGAATGCAGAGGGAATCACTTAAGAGATTGAAGTAATTCTGGAGAAGATAGCAAATATGAAGAACAAAGATGATCCAATATAAGGATAATTATTGTTCCATAAGTAGATGCCACACATGAATAGAAAATTTCGTTGAAACTTTCCTTGAAATTGAGAGCACTATATCTGCAGGACAAAAAGGTACAATGTATGCAAGAACTGACTCAGGATGATCAAAGTACTGTGGTTAAACTCAAGGATAAAAAAGAGTCTACCAGGCATCCAAACAGAAAAAAATTAGTCACCTAAAAGTTAGTCAACCTAAAAGGCAGGTTGGGGGACACATGCGGCAGAGAGGCAGAAGATGTTTGTAGAAAAACCAACACACTAAGTTATGAAAAAACAGGCCAAACTTCTACCACTGTTTGGCTTATGACCTTGAGGAAGTCAAGCAATGTCCTTTTTAGGCCTTAGTTTCCCTATCTGTACACTGAAAGGACTGGATAAATATGAAATTTAAAGCCCTTTCAGCTCTGAAAGTATGATGGACGGTAGCCAGATTAAGAGGATAAAATGTCAAATACTGGGTTTTATAGCTTACTTTTCTCCTTCCAGCTCTTATTAAATCATAAGTTGGGAAAGAAAATGTATTTCAGACATTCCTCCTACCCCCAAATATACCTATCATATTTCATCTCACAAATCAGCAAATATTAAAAAATAAACACTCAAGGCTAACAAGCGATACAATAAAACCAGGTGCTCTCAAACACGATTTTCTAAAAGTCTTAAAACTTTCCCCAAATATCAAGCAAGGGATGCTAGGAAAAAACAATCACTGAATAAAGGAGAAAGAGTTATTTGTTAGAGGCAATGAGAAGGTATCTGCTGGAGCAAGAGCAGCGAAACAAAGGATACGGGAGAGAACTGAGGTAGTTTATAATCTATAGTAGTTGTTCTCAACATATAAGCCAAAGAGAACCTGTAAGGATTTATTACCGCAAGGGGGTCTGCAAATCCACACAAAAATAAACCACTGCTGGAAACAGAGAAATAAGCAATGCTATACCGCCAAATACACACACACACACACACACACACACACACACACACACACAAACACACACACACTCTTTTTTTTTTTCTTTGAGACGGAGTCTCACTCTGTTGCCCAGGCTAGAGGGCAATCTCGGCTCACTGCAACCTCCACCTCCCAGGTTCAAGTGATTCTCGTGCCTCAGCCTCTCAAGTAGCTGGGATTACAGGCGCGCACCACCACATCTGGCTAATTTTTGTATTTTTAGTAGAGACGGGCCTTCACCATGTTAGTCACACTGGTCTTGAACTCCTGACCTCGAGTGATCCACCCACCTCGGCCTCCTAAAGTGCTAGGATTACAGGCGTGAGCCACCGAGCCCGACCCACGTTGGTTTTTAAATATGAAATCTTGAAGTATAATTTTCCTTAAAAGCAGCAGGACAAAAAATTAGCCAGGCGTGGTGTCATGCGCCTGTAATCCCAGCTACTTGGGAGGCTGAGGCAGGAGAATCACTTGAACCCAGGAGGCGGAGGTTGCAGTGAGCTGAGATCGCACCATTGCAGTCCAGTCTGAGCCACAGGGCAAGACTTCCAAAAAAAAAAAAAAAGCAGCAGGAACGGCCAGGCACGGTGGCTCACGCCTGTGATCCCAGCACTTTGGGAGGCCAAGACAGGCAGACCACTTGAAGTCAGGAGTTCAAGACCAGTGTGGCCAACATGGTGAAGCCCTGTCTCTACTAAAAATACCAAAAAATTAGCCAGGTGTGGTGGTGCGTGCCTGTAATCCCAGCTACTCAGGAGGCTGAGGCAGGAGAATCACTTGAACCCAGGAGGTGGAGGTCGCAGTGAGCCAAGATCACGCCACAGCACTCCAGCCTGGGTGACTGAGCGAGACTCTGTCTCAGGAAAAAAAAAAAAAAAGCAGAGCAACAAAAATGAAACCCTATTCTTTGACCCAGTACTTCCCTTTCTAGGAATATGGCAAAAGAAAGTAAAAAGAAACTGGAAGAAAATAATTGATTTACACAGATATTCATTAAGGCATTATTTACCATATCAATAAATTAGAGCCAATCCAGATGTCCAATAGCAGAGAATCATTAGGTAAACTATGATACACTCACAATGAACAGACTATTAAGCACTCATTAAAATTACATTTTCCAAGAATATTTAATGGTTTAGGAAAATATTCATGACATAAGATTACATGAAAAAGCAGAGTATATAGCTACAAATTGCTATATATTGTGATCCCAATTTTGAAAACAAATGCTACACAAACACACCAAAAAGTAAACAGTTTTCTCTAGATAGTGAGAATACAGGCAAATTTTTATTTTCTTTTTTGTATCTCTCTGTAATTTCCAAATTATCTACACTGAGCATATAAAATGTTTTAAAGATAAATTTGCTTAAAGTTCTAAAAAGATATTCAATTATATTCTTTCCAAAGAAGTATTACTGTCACTGGGTTCTAAAAAAAAATCCAATATGCTTATAGAACACTTCAAACTAAAAAATCAGCAACTATTTCTTGAATAATTTATCCTTAGTTCTAAAATTGAGTATAATCAGCAAAGAGATGAATTGAGTGCCTCATTCATAGTCAATGTTTATTCTTCAATTAGGCATTGTTATATTCAGCACAGAAAAGAGTGACAAGAAAATAACTTGGCTAGAGCATGACTGACTGGGATGTGTGTTTAAAAGATTTCGTAAAAGGCTGTATGTTTATCTAGTCTTAACTTTTATTAATCACTATGTGACTGTCCATTTAAATAACAATTAATGAGGTATTATTACTACTTAATAGATAAAAGAAATGAAGAGGCCAGCCTGGAGCCTCATCATACCATAACTAGAACCTGCTGAGACAGATTTACCTCACGAGAAACTAGTCCTTTACCCAACAAACTATTTGAAACCTTCCAGACTATGCCACTAAGGCCATAGATCCCTCTAGCCTACAAGAGATTAAAAGGCCTAAATCTATCAACACCTCATATCCTTGTTTACGTAAGTCTCCACCAGAAATACTGTTAACTCTCATGCCCCTACTACTCTACACATCCCTCTCATCTGAATGAGCTCCTCAGCTCTACCTCTTCTGTGATCAGCAAACTCCACTTTCTAGCCTTATGGAAAACATAACTCCCCCAAATATGCTACTTTAATAAATCCCACAGAGGCTGATGTTATTCAGTTCCTCCACACGTCTCAAAACCATGTCCTTGCAGGCCATGGTGGGGCAGAGGTTGGGAAGATGGCCTGGTGAGGCTGGGCAGAGAGAGGTTGGGGCAGCGACCAGGCGTGGTCTCCGCCAGTGGGCGGCCGCAGCTGCAAGGAACTCACTGAGGCCCTAGCCCCGCCACGGCTGCTCAGACGCAGGTTTGGCTTCTTCGCAAAAATGTGGATTCAGAAAAGCACCCAGGAAGGCTGAACCTCAAAGATCAGACACAGGCACAAGTGGTGAAGCATACAAGAGAAGTGCTTTGGTTCCTCCTGTGGAAGAAACGGCCTTTTATCCTTCTTTGTATCCTATAGGGACTCTCATAAAATCTTTATTTTTTACTGTTGGGTTTACAGGCTGTGCATTTGGATCAGCTACTATTTGGCAATATGAATCACTGAAATCCAGGGTCCAGAGTTATTTTGATGATATAAAAGCTGACGGTTGGGATAGCATAAGATCACAAAAAAGAGACTTCAGAAAGGAGATTAACAAGTGGTAGAATAACCTAAGCGATGGCCACCAGACTATGACAGGTTATCACAGCTGCAAATGAATGTCTTTGTATTCTGTTTATAGAGAGTACCTTCTCTGCAGCGGACAATGATCAGATATTTCGCATCTAATCCAGCCTCAAAAGCCCTTTCTTTTCCAATGTTGCTGTCAACATTCAGTCATTTCTCCTTATTTCACATGGCAGCAAATATCTTATGTTTTGTGGAGCTTCGCCTCCAGCACAGTGAACATTCTGGATCAAGAGCAGTGTTATTATCTGCAGGTGTTATTTCCAATTGTGTCAGTTATGTGTGTAAAGTTGCCACAGGAAGATAGGGACCATCACTTGGTGCATCTGGCACCATCATGATGGTCTTTGCAGCTGTCTGCACTAAGATCCCAGAAGGGAGGCTTGCCATTATTTCCCTTCAGATGTTCACATTCATAGCAGAGAATGCCCTAAAAGCCATTATGGCCATGGATACAGCAGAAATCTTCATGGGATGGAAATTTTTTTATCATGCAGTGCATCCTGGGGGAGCTCTCTTTGGAATATGGTATGTTACTTATGGTCATTAACTGTTTTGGAAGAACAGGGAGCTTCTAGTGAAAATCTGGCACGAAATGAGGACTAATGGCCCCCAAAAAAGGAGGTGGCTCTAAGTAAAACTGGGATTGGACAGTACTGGTGTATCTGGTCCATGATGCCTGAGAGCCACAGGAACACATGGGCCCTAGAGTGACCACAGCTATGCTCTGGCTTGAAAGACACCAGCATCTGGCCTCCCAGTGTTTTCAGCTGTGTCCCCCAGTCTGTCTTTTAAAAGGTGAATTATGACAAAGTTGTGAAATAAAGGTTTATATCTAGTTGGAAAAAAAAAATCACATCCTCCTTGTTCCCTATTGCTATTTCAGAACCATTATATTTCCTCAGTCATCCAAAAAACTCTGCTCACTTGAGGTCCTCCTATGCTAGTTCCTTCCCTATCAGCTTCTAAACGTTGGGGTTCTTCTAGGCTTGGTCCTAGACTCCCTTTCTCTTCTATCTTCTGTCTCCATACTCTCCCCAGATTATCTCATGCATTCCCAGATCTTTAAATACATGGTATTTATCCAAATTATTACCATTTGAGAGCTGTTGGTTCTCAAATGTATTTCTGTAGACCAGACTACTCTTTCAACCTTTAGAGACTCCTATATTCAACTCCCCACTTTGGAGTTACACTTGTGTCTCATTCCCCTGATTAAAACTCTTTAAAGCCTTCAGCATCTTTTACAAAACCCTGTAAGATCTAGTTTCATTCTCATATCATGCCATTATTCCCTTGCTCACAATCCTTCAGTCACACTAGGCTTCTTTCAGTTTATTGAATACACAAAGCATTTTGCCACCTCAGGACTTTTTCACATGATGTTCCCTTTCCTTACAATATTCTTTTACCACCCCCATCCCTAATCCCTTCCTTTTTATCCTTTATGTCTCAGCTTAAACCTCACTTCTTCAGAGATGCCTTCTCTAGGACAATCCAATCTAAAATAGTTTTCACCTGTTACTATATTCACAGTAACCAGTTCTTTTCCTTCAAAGCACTTAATCACAATTTTTAAATAAGTAAACACACAATAATGTCCTGAGCATATTAGTCAAGCTATATCTTCTGTATGAATCAAAAACCAGTGAACAAATGTACTTACAACCACATAGCTAACAAATGGAAAACCAAGATCTGCCCAATCTAAATCCAGTATTCAATACACTATAAAAACTGCTCCTAACAAACTCTGTTCAATACACTATAACTGTTCCCAACAAACTCATCTATTATTGTCTCAAACATAATGTAACTAGACCTAACAAGTCTTACTGTAAAAGAGTATGTTAAAATTCCAAGATATCATACAATGCAAAAATTACATGGACCAAAGTGCTAAGTATTTAATGGTAGGTCTAGAATTTCAAAAAAGGTATAAAATAATTTTTATATCAACACTTCTTGAAATATTTCTAAAACACATTCTTAGCTGAGTAAGAGGCAAACTAATTTAGCAGATAGCATTTCAAATTTTCATTAATAAAATAGTTGTGTGGAATGAAACGTAGATAAAAATCTCTAGAAAAAGCAATAATTACATTCCTAAATTAGCCCGCCAAAATCCCTTTAATACTGGTTAATAAGCTTTAGTACTAATAATACAAACTTGAGTCTGGGTCCAGGAAGCAGGGCCCTGGAAAGGCCCGTGAAAGGCGACTGAGGATAAGAAATGAGGGTAAGAACTCATTCTCAAGTCCTTGGGTAGTCAGGACTCTGCTACTTCCTAAGCCTTTTTTTCCCATGGCCCACCTCACGTATTCAACAAGGAAGTAGAGGGACAGAGGGTGAAGTAGGAGAAGGAGAAAACACTTAACAACAAGCACAGTGTTAGGCATGTGACAAACCAATTTTACTTACTCCCACCAATCCCACAATGCAGTTATCACCATCCTCTGTTTCACAGGGAATATTTAAATCTAAGCCTATACTCTTTCCACTACTTCTTAAGCAACCAGCCCTAAGTAAGTATATAATTAGCTGTTTAATGCACTGTCCATGAGGAGATAAGACATATCTGCATTTTTTGCTAGTTTTTTATAAACAGTAAGAGCTCAAATATTTGTGGATAAATGACTGAAATCAGTAAATAAAAGAATGAGCAAAATAACTCAAGTTCTGTGACTTTTCCTAATCATTCCAGACTACAATGATTACTCCTCCCTCTGGATTAACACTTAATGTCTCTACTTATGTTGTCCTAGTCACTACATGAGCTATTGAACACCTGAAAGTGGCAAAGTTTGAATCGAACGTTCTGAAATGCATAACAGATTTTAAGGCCTTAATTTTTTTTGAAGGATGTAAAATATCTCAATAATGATTTTTATAAGGACTACATATTGAAATGTTAAGATTTTTATATATTGGGGTAAATAAAATATATTATTAAAATTAACTTCAGCCTGTGCGTGGTGGCTCATGCCCGTAACCCCAACACTTTGGGAGGCCGAGGCAGGCGGATCACAAGGTTAGGAGTTCAATATCAGCCTGGCCGATATGGTGAAACCCCGTCTCTACTAAAAATACAAAAATTAGCCAAGGGTAGTGGCAGGCACCTGTAATCCCAGCTACTCAGGAGGCCAAGGCAGGAGAATCGCTTGAACCCAGGAGGCGGAGGTTGCAGTGAGCCGAGATTGTGCCACTGCACTCCAGCCTGGGCAACAGAGTGAGACTCCGTCTCGGAAAAAAAAAAAAAATTAATTTCATCCATTTAAGTTTTTAAAAAGTGGCTCTTATAAGGCGGGAGCAGTGGCATGTTCCTGTAGTCCCAGCTACTCAGAAGACTGAGGCAGGAGGATCACTGGCGCCCAAGAGTTCAAGTCCAGCCTGGGCAAAATAGTGAAACCCCTTCTCTAAAAAATAAAAATGTGGCTATTAGAAAAATTTAATTATATACGTGGCTTGCAATATACTTTCTGAACAGCACTGATCTACACCATCCATTTGGCAGCATATATATTCTACTTTATAACATCTCATGTTAGTTAAATATTCCAATATGTACATTTCCCTAGAACATAGGGTCCCTTATCCTTGTAATAATTCAATGTACTTTTTAAACCAGCTTCATTAAGTTTTAATTCACATAACAAATAATTCACCCAACTAAAGTGCACATTGAACGATTTTTAGTACTTTCACAGGCTTGTGCAACCATCACCCCAATCAATTTCATTACCCCAAAAAGAAACACTGTACCTCTTAGGTGTCATCCCCCAATCCTTCCATTCCAGCCCTAAGGAAACAGTAACCTACTTTCTGTCTACAGATTTGCCTATTCTGGACATTTATATAGGTGGAATCATATGATACTTGGTCTTTTGTGCTTGGCTTCTTTTACTTAGAATGTTTTCCAGGTTCATCCATGTTGTAGTATGCTTTGGTCCATTTCTTTTGGTTCCTCAGTAATAATCCATTTATGGAAATCCCGTATTTGATTTCTCCATTCATCAACTGATAGATGTTTGGGTTGTTTTTCTACTTTTAGCTATTATGAATAATGCTATGAACATGTGTATATATGAACATATGGGTATATATAACTAGGCATAGAATTGCTAGGTTATATGGTAACTCTATGTGTGTATTTTAAGAACTACCAGATTGTTTTCCAAAACAGCTGTACCATTTTACATTCCCACAGCAGTGTACGAGGGTTCCAATTTCTCCATATCCTAACAAACATTGGTTATAATCTGACTTTTTTATTCTAGCCATCCTAATGAGTCTGAAGTGGTATCTCATGGTTTTGATTTTTATTTCCATAATGGCTAATGATGTTGAGCATCTTTTCGTGCATTGATATGGTTTTGCTCTGTGTCCCCACCCAAATCTCATCTCAAATTGTAATCCTCATGTATTGGAGGAGGGGCCTGGTGGGAGTTGAATGAATCATGGGGACAGACTTCCCCCTTGCTGTTCTTGTGATAGTGAGTTCTCACGAGATCTAGTTGTTTGAAAGTGTGTGGCACTTCCCCCTTTGCTTGCTCGCTCGCTCTCTCTCTCTCTCCTGCTCCACCACGGTAAGATGTGCTTTCTTCCCCTTTCACTTTCCACCATGATTTAAGTTTCCTGAGGCCTCCCACCCATGCTTCCTATACAGCCTTTGGAACTGTGAGTCAATTAAACCTCTTTTCTTCATAAATTACCCAGTCTCAGGTAGTTCTGTATAGCAGTATAAGAATAGACTAATACATGCACTTATCAACCATTATGTATATCTTCCTTGTAGAAGTAGATATACATAGGTTCTGTCTATTCAGAACCTGTGCCAAATTTTTAATTGGACTTTATTTTATTATTGAACTGTAAGAGTTCTTCTTGTATTCTGGATACAAGTCCTTTATCAGATATAATTTGCAAGTATTTTCCCTTTCTGTTGTCTCTTTCTTGATGGTGTTTTGAAGCACAAATGGTTTTATTTTTGATAATGTTCAAGGTATCCATTTTTTCTTTTGTTGCTTGTGTGCTTGGTACCACATCTAAGAAGCCACTGCCTACCCAAGGTCAGAAAAACTTACTCCTATGTTTTCTCCTAGGAGTTTTAGCTCCTACTTGTTTTAGCTCTAGCATTTAGGTCTTTAATCCATTTTGACATAATTTTTGTAGATGGTATGAGGTAGGAGTTAAACTTCATTCATTTGCATGCAAATATCCAGCTGTCTGAGACCATTTGTGGGGGATAAAAAATTATTTCACCATTTAATTATCTTGGTATCCTTGTCAAAACCAATTGACCATAAAGGTAGGGGCTTATTTTTAAACTAATGATCATACTCCATGAATCTATATCCAAGCGCCACACCGTCTGGATTGATGTAAATTTTTAAATTGAGAAATGTGATTCCTCTAACTTTATTCTTTATTTTTCAATTTTTGAGGGGCTATTCAGAGTCTGTTATGGGTTGAACTGGGTACCCCAAAAAAGATATGTTAAACTCCTAATCACAAAGTAACTCAGAATGTGACCTTATTTAGAAACAGGGTCTTCACAAAGGTAATCAAATTAAAATGAGGGCCAGGAGAGGTCGAGGTAACTCATGCCTGTAATCCCAGCATTTTGGGGAGGCCAAGTAGGGCAGATCACTTGAGGTCAGGAGCTCATGACCACAACATGGCAAAACCTCACCTCTACTAAAAATACACAAAATTAGCTAGGCGTGGTGGCAGGCACCTGTAGTCCCAGCTACTCGGGTGGCTAAGGTGGAAGAATTGCTTGAACCCAGGAGGCGGAGGTTGCAGTGAGCTGAGATCGTGCCACTGCACTCCAGCCTGGGCGAGAGAGTGAGACTCCATCTCAAAAAAAAAAATTAAAATTAAAATGAGGTCATTCCCATGGGCCCTAATCCAATATGACTGGTGTCCTTACAAAAAGAATTTTGGACACACAAACATACACAGAGAGCAAATAATATGAAGACACACAGGTAGAGGAAATCTAAGTGACTTTAGTGATCTACAAGCCAAGAAATGTCAGGGATTGCTAGCAAACACTAGAAGCAGCAAGCGGGGATAATTCCCTAGAGCAGTCAGAGCCAACACCTTGATTTTGGACCTCCAGCTTCTAAACTGTGAGAAAAATTTCGGTTGTTTTAAGCCACCTAGTTTTGGTACTTTGTTACTGCAACCCTCGGAAACTAATACAGGATCCCTTGTATTTCCATATGAATTTTAGGATCAGTTTATCAATTTGTGCAAAGGGCAATTGGAACTTTGCCTTCTGCAAAAGGCAACTGGAATTTTGATAAACCACTGGAACTGTAGATCAACTAGGAGAGCACTATTATTTAAACAATATTAAGTCTTCCAATTCATGAACATAGGATGTCCATCCTTTTTTTTAGGTATTCATTAATTTCTTTCAACGATGTTTTGTAATTTCCATATTATACGTTTTATACTTCTGTTAAATGTATTCATAAGTATTTTGTTCCTTTAGATGGCATTATAAGTGGAACTGTTTCCTTAATTTCAGTTTCAGTTTGCTCATTTCTACTGTACAGAAACATAGTTGATTTTTATACATTGAGCCTACATAAAATGAGTTCAACTTTGCTGAACTCATTTATTAACTCTAATAGATTTTTAGCAAATTTCTTAGGATGTTTCTATAAATATCTGCAAATAGAGATAGCTATACTTCTTCCTTATCACTCTGATGCCTTTTACTTCTTTTCCTGCCTAATTGCTCTGGCTAGAAACTCTAGTACAATGTTAAAAAAAAGTGGCAGCAGAGGACACCCTTATGTTGCTCCTAATATTAGGCAGAAAGCATCCAATATTTTGCCATTAACTATGTATTAGCTCCGGGTTTTTTCATAGATGTTATCAGATGGAGCAAGTTTCCTTCTATTCCTAGTTTATTAGTTTTATCATGAATAGAATGTACTTTTTAACATATCTATAGTCTACATAATGTATAGCTCACTGGTACTCTCTAATGTGCTAAATGACTAAAACTGGTATGAAGTATAACTTACCAAAGAAAGTCCTCGATTTTTTTATGTAACAGAAAAACATAAACACTACTTTATTATGATAATTCAGAAGATATCCTCATTAAGAATATTTATGTTGTTAAACTAATTCTGATCATCAGTTTTGTTGTTGCAATACCCCCAGAGTATCGCCAATTAAAGTATCTAAGAGAAGGGGGTACCATGACTAACTTAATTACTAAATGACTCAGAGACAAAAATTTAATTTAAAAAGCAAATCTGGCTGGGCAGTGGCTCATGCCTGTAATCTCAGCACTTTGGGAAGCCAAGGTGGGCAGATCACTTGAGGTCAGGAGTTCAAGACCAGCCGGGCCAACATGGCAAAACCCCGTATCTACTAAAAATACAAAAATTAGGTGGGCATGGTGGCGGGCACCTGAAATCCCAGCTCATCAGGAGGCTGAGGCAAGAGAATTGCTTGAACCCGGGAGGCAGAAGTTGCGGTGAGCCAAGATCACGCCACTGCACTCCAGCCTGGGCGACAGAGTAAGACTCCGACTCAAAAAAAAAAAAAAAAAAAAAGCAGATCTATGCCATCTAGCAGTTTTAGGAAAAAAGCTTGGATACACAGATATCAAAATAATATGCTACAATAAAAGTTTTAGAATCAATGTCAGACAAATTTACAAGTTCCCAAACATAGAAATAAAATTAATGTCAACACCTGTTAAAAAACAAAACCTAACACTCAAAATTTGTTTTAACTGACAAAACCCAAAGTCTGTGATAACTCAGCAGAACAGCAGTTCCTATCACTGCATTAAACAATTATCATCTTGTTTCCTAACACAAAGAAAAATGCTGAATATACAGAAGTATAGAAATACTCCTTATTCACTAGCAATTACTTGAAACAAACAAAAAAATTGCTTTGCTATTTTACTCAAGGTATTGCCCTAAAGGACCCTTGTTTATCTTACTGGCCTTCCAGTTCTAACTTTAAAAACAGATATGCATTTCGCTATTATATTGTAAATGGTCCCTCTATCCACTCTAGAAGGAAGAATCAAATGGCAAGATAAAATAAAGCAATAATTTAAAAGTAATAGCTTATCCAATTATCCAAATTGCTTAACTTCTTAAGCAATTAAGAAACATGAGCTTCTCCATCCAGAAATGGTGACAGACTGAAAAACTGAAGACACATTATCCCGAAGAACTTGTATTCTTATTGGAGAGATAACTCAAAATCTAAAATAAGAAACAATCCTAAATATATTAAGCAAGCCGGTAGTGTGTAATACGTCATATGCAAAGGAAGGAAATATGTTTTATAAAGTGAACTCCAGACTGGGTGACAGGGAGAGACCCTATTTCAAAAAAAGAAGTAAATAAAAAATAAAAATAAAGCACTACAGCTCTTTTTTTTTTTACCATCTTACACATCAAACCTTTAGTCTTGAGGTATTTAATGGTATTTAGTGGTTTCAGAAAATACTGAGCATATAAGCATGCATTTAGAACTCCATTTTTTACATTTTATGCTCTTTATGATGGTTATTCTAGGTCAGTCATTAAACTCCCTTATGTAAATCTGCTTCTGCCAGATGACATCAATAACTACACAAACAGTCCATAGGTTAACACTATTATATTTTCCTGTAATACACTATAGAGAATAAAATAAGAGGAACTGATGAATAAAAAATATATAAAACATCTAAAGAAGTCTTTATTACTAATAATCTTCCATAGCTATAACATATGCAAGATACTGTACTAAACAATTTATATTAAATATTGTTCATTTAACCTAAAAATACATTTACATACAAGGAAACTGAGGCACAGTTCAGTAACTTGTCCAATGTCACAGCAAGTAAATAGCAAATTCGGAATTTATCCCAGAGCCCAGGCGCTTACTCAACATGTTACTTCCTCCTAAGCTATTTTTAAAGGCATAATATGAAGTCAAATTATTAATTACAACAATCTCAGGTTTCTTCTTCAATTTTAGTTATCATAATTCACCCTCAAAACTGTGCCACTGAGGCCAGGCATGGTGGTTCATGCCTGTAATCCCAGTGCTTTGGGAGGCCAAGGTGGGTGTGCTCCTTGAACCCAAGCGTTCAAGACCAACCTGGGCAACATGGTGAAACCCTGGTCCACACCTATGATACCAACTACGCGGGAGGCTGAGATGGCAGCACTGATTGAGCCTGGGAGGTTGAGGCTACAGTCAGCTGTGATCAAGCCACTGCACTCCAGCCAAGGCAAGAGTGAGACTCTGTCTCAAAAAAACATGTGCATCATTGAAAGAGGACATCAAAAAGGGATGGCAGTCTTTTTCTGAAAAATGGTACTAGAATAAGCGACCATCTACATGCAAATAAACACACATCAACTTACACAAAAATTAACTCAAAATGCACAAAAATTCACAAAAATTAAAAAATTAGCTCAAACTGCATCATAGACCTAAAGTAAAATGCAAAGCTATAAAACTTCTAAAAGATAACAGGAAAAATCCAAGTAACCTTTGGTTTGACGAGGACTTTTTACATACAACACCAAAAGCACAGTCCATAAAAAAAAAAAAAATGGAAAAGTGGGCTTCGTTAAAATTAAAAACTTCTGCTCTTTGAAAGAAAGACACTATGAAACAGGATGAAAAGACAAGACATAGACTGGGAGAAAATATTTGCAATACACATATCTGATAAAGGGCTAGTATCCAAAATATACAAAGAACTCTTAAAACTCAATAATAAAACAAATGAATTAAAAAGTGTACAAAAAATCTGAACTGATACCTCACAAAAGAAGATATACAGGTAGCAAATAAGCATATGAAAAGATGCTCAACATCATATGTCATTAGGGAATTGTAAATTAAAACAATGCCATACCATTATACATCCACTGGAACAGAATGGCTAAAATCCCAAACACTGACAACACCAAAAGCTGATGAAAATGTGAGGCAACAGGAACTCTCACTCACTGTTTGCAGAAATGTAAAATAGTACAGCCATTCTGGAAGACACATCAGCAGTTTCCTGCAAAGCTAAATGTAGTCTTACCACACAATCCCAGCAATCACACTCATAGATATTTACACAAGTGAGTTGAAAACTTATGTCTGTAAGATACAATGAATTTTTCTGAATTTCTCTTCAAAGGTTCAGGTTGTTAACTTCCTCGTTTTTTGTTCTCAAACTCAACTTTCTTGTTTTCCATGCCTCCTTGCCTCTAGTTACTGTAAAAAAAAAACCAATCTTCCTGTCAGCTCTTATCAATAGCTTACAACTGTTCCCTTGGTTAAACACTCTGCACCCATTCCACCCATTAGAAACCACACATCACCCTTCGAAACCACACATCCCATCACTGTAACTCACCTTCCCCTTTTCTTATTTGGAAAAAATATTCACAAGTAGCCAATCGGGTCTGCTTAGATTGTGTAGTCCGAACCCAGCCCATGCGGGAGTGACACAGAGGTAGGGACTATGCATTAGAGATAAAAACCCCTTCTCTCCTGTGCTCCCTGTGCTTTTGCCATTGCTCCATCTGCAAGATACACCCTTCTGCAGAAGTAAATTGCCTTGCTGAGAAAACTTTTGGCACTGAGCATTTATCTCCAACAAATCTGCGGGCTCATCCGGGATTCCCATTCTCCTCTGGGAAAGGGTCTTGGTCCTCTCCCGTGAAGAGGTGCGCCCCACTGCCTCGTTGCAGCAGCCTCAGGGATAAAGGAATTGAGGCCCACCCAGTGTGACAAATAAACCCAGACTCTCAGCAACATGGGAAAGAAACAGGCCGGCAGCTCGGGGAAAGGAGGCTCACATACCACAGCGACTAGGTAACTCTGTGCACAGACCAAAGTCAGAAGGTCGCAGGGGCGACAAAGTATTTCCTTGGTGGTTGGGATTCTGGAGGTTAAAAGTGTGTAAATGATCACAAGCACTACTGCTTGCAGTGCTGCTTGTGTGAATGGTACTAAGCACTACTGCTGTGCAGAGTGAGTGGGTCCTATCGGCAGTTCCGTGGTCACCTCATACAGCTTAGGGCGGCCCTTTGGGGATCCTGTCAGGAGTTTATACTGACCCGCCATCAATGCTAAGAGGGACCTGAAATATTCCCGCGAGGGAAGTGGCCAGAGCAGATGCAGCGAAAAAAGGGTGCAAGAAACCTCCAGTAGGTGGGGCTAAAGGATAGGCAAGAAATCTCTAACACAAGGTATTGAGCCTTAACAAGCTCCCCAAGGAAGAATAGGCAAGAAATCACTGATACAAAGGATTGAGCCTTAACAAGCCCCCAGAGAAGAATAGGCAAGAAGTCTTTAGTACAAGGGATTCAGCCTAACTAGGACCCAACATGGGAAATACGCCAAGCAAGACAAGAAGTAAAAAGGATAAAAACAGCAACAAAGATAGTCCCCCCAATCTCTTGTTAAAAGACCTAGCCCCCTAGGTCTCATGTTAAAATATTGGAAAGATAATAAAAGGTTAGAAAAGCCAGTTCCCATGCCTAAAGACCATCACATGGGATCCCCTACACTGTCTTCCCCTGCTCAGTGACCCCAACCCTTTCCTCTCAGGCAGCTGTTGCCATCCTAGATCCTGCTTCATATCCTTCCCCTACTCATGTTACTCCTCCTCCTTACAATTCTCACTCTTGGGAATCAACACCCTATGAACCTATTCCCTCCCAGCCTAAGTATCCCTCCTTAAAGGGACTCCATGCACCTAAGTCGCCAGGCAGCTTTTGTAGGGTGGGCAGCATCAAGGATCTGCCACACTGTGTCACTGGCATCGTCCGGGCCCTGGTGTGCCTCCACAGTAGGCAGAGCCCACGCTCCTGCCCCCTTGCTGGTCCAGGGTTCAGGCACCATGTAAAGGGTGGCTCTGCAAAACATGCAGACCAGGCCACGGGCCAAACCCCGAACAGGCTACATTATGGGACATCTGCCTTACTTCTGCTGGGGCCAAGTGGTGCAGGGATTTGGCTGCGGCTCCAAGCAGCTGGGCATCCCTGCAGCTAATTTTCCTGAGTAAGTGGTAGATAACCTTCCAGCTGATATATCCACCGGCATTTATTGTAGTTGGGCCAGTGCTGGAAGTAGAGATGTCCATAAGATGGTGGTGAGCACAGGATGGAACCCATACTACAAGAATACAAAGAAGCCCATGGAAACACATATCATGCATACCTTCAAAAAAGACTTCTATAAGGAAATCCTCAATGTGATCATTGTTGGCTACCCCAGACCAGAAAAGAACTTTGATTCTTTAGAGTCACTTATATTAAAATATACCACTGGAAAAGTATTACATGTGTATGAGTATGAGGCTACTCTGTTAAAACAAGAGGATGATTTAACCACTGATAATTTGCTTAACCCAGGAGGTTTCTTAACAAGAGTTCTAAATCTAAAAAGAAAGCACACATGTTTAGATTTAATTGATTACCATACAAAGGTCCGGCCAAAGTTAGGAGAAACTCACTTCAGGACTGGGCGACAGTTCTTTATAGATGGCTCCTCCCAAGTGATTGAAGGAAAAAGACACAATGGGTATTCAGTAATTGATGGAGACGCTCTTAAAGAAATAGAGTCAAGAAAATAGCCCAATAATTGGTCTGCCCAAACTTGTGAATTGTTTGCACTCAGCCAAGCCTTAAAGTACTTGCAGAACCAGGAGGAACCATCTATACCAATTCTAAGTACACCTTTGGGGTGGCTCATACATTTGGAAAGATTTTAGGCTGAACGAGGTCTTATTAACAGTAAGGTCAAAACCTTGTTCACAAGGAATTAATCACCCGAGCACTGAATAACCTTCAGTTGCCAGAGAAAATCGCTATTGTCTATGTCCCCAGACACCAAAAAAGCCTGTCTTTTAAGAGTCAGGAAAATAACCTAACAGATCAGATAAGCCAAACAGGCTGCCATTTCTTCTGAAATGCCTGTTCTCCACTTAACTCCTTACCTTCCTCCTCCTACTGTGATCTCTGTTTTCTCTTCCACTGAGAAAGAAAAGCTAGTAAGAACAGGCACTAAAGAGAGCTCAGAATAAAAATAGATATTGACAGACCAAGTCTTGTCCAACCTGCATCAAAGGACTCATTAAGGACCCCAGGCCATGTGTGATGCAGTCTTCATGGAACTTATACCCTAGCCAAAACGGGTTATAGATAGTTGCTTTATATGTAAATATATGAAAACTGATAAACAAACTATAAAAGAGATTATCCCTTGGGGAAAGGAGTCCAGGCTTAAGACCATTCCAAAGTACCCAAATTAATCAGAGATGCCTCTAACGGGTTGTCTAAAATACTTATTAATGACAATAGATCACCTCACTCACTGGGTCAAATGCAACAGCCAATAATATAGTTAAGGCATTAATTAAAAATATAGTGCTCAAGTTCAGGCTAATAAAAAATATTGACTCAGACAATGGAACCCATTTCACAGCTCATATCATTAAAAAGCTATCCCAAGCCCTAAACATTAAATGAAAATATCATACTCCTTGGCACCCACCGTCATTAAGGAAGGTTAAAAAGACAAATCAGAGCTTAAAGAACCATCTAACCAAATTAGTTATAAAGACTCAGTTGCCATGGACCAAATGTCTTCCAATTGCCCTGATGAAAATCCAAACTGCTCCTCAAAAAGATACAGGCCTTTCCCTTTATGAGATGGCTCTACAGACTGCCTTATTTACACTCCACTGCTGACATTCCTACATTTAAAACAAAAGACCAATTCCTCAAGAATTATATACTTGGTCTCTCCTTTACTTTCTCTTTTTCTTAAAACCAAAGGTCTCTTAGCACAGGCGCTAACCCTGGAGCTCTCAGTCCATTAATAACAGCCTGGGGATCACGTCCTCATCAAGGAGGAAAAACTTGAGCTGGCCTGGGAAGGACCTTACCTGCGGCTTCTAACCACTAAAACCGCAGTCCAGACAGCAAAAAAAGGATGGACCCATCACACCCGAGTCAAGAAAACACCACCACCTCCAGAGTCATGGGCCATTATCCAAAGAAAAAAACCTCTCAAACTAAAGCTACAAAAAGTTTAACTCTCTTTCATCTTTCCATCTATTCTATTACTTTCTTCTTTTCTCATTCTATTGATGACCACCTTGTTATCAATGTAACTAGGTCAGATTCACCCCAAATCATTACCTTTGATGCTTGTCTTGTTACACCTTGTGAGGACGAACAATGACAAAGACAAATCTCTACTTTAGAAAAATACCTCTGCCCCTCCAGAAAAGCCACTGACCCTGCATCTTGCTCATGGCAGGGGTACCAAGACACCCCAAATTGAGAGATATGTTCCCAATGGGCAGATATCATCTGGACTACCAGAGATCCGGGCTGGACCTCCCCAGATGGCTGTACCAACCTAAAATCTTACCTCCACTTTTACCAAAGGAACCACCCCCTCTAATTGTCCATCTCACCATTGTAACCCAGTAACTATTTCCATTAATACTCCTACCTCCACCAACCCTACACCCCCTTCAGAGCACTTTTACGGCTTAAGAGTAAAGACCAATGGATACAACCCTATATGCTTCTTTAAAATGCGTTTTATTAACCTCCCTCCTCCTTCTCCATCTAAACCTTCTACCCTGCCCTACAACAATGCTGAAGTAAACATTGTAGAAGCAGATGATCTAAGGCAAACTCTAGCAATTAAAATAGGATATCAAGATACAAATGTCTGGTTGAAATGCATCAAAAATTCTGTCCGCACATTAAACAAAAGCAATTGTTATGCTTGTGTGCATGGCCGGCCAGAGGCCCAGATTGTCCCCTTTCCACTCGAATGGTGCTCCAGTCAACCGGGCATGGGCTGCATGGTAACTCTCTTCCAGGATTCTACAGCTAGGAGTAATAAATCATGCCAAGCTCTCTCCCTGCTCTATCCCAAAGTCCAACACCCTGTGGGTCAGCCCCCAAGGGCCATCCAGCTTCCATCTCTCAATGTCAATTTCACCTTGTGTCTCTCACGGAATGGGAAAAACTTGGCGTTCCTGGGAAGCTTAATGGAACACAGTGAGCTTAGGCCCTTCCAAGAGCTTACCCATCAGTCTGCCCTTAGCCATCCTTGAGCAGGTATATGATGGTATTGTGGTGGACCCTTACTGGGCACTCCACCAAGTAACTGGAGCAGCACTTGCTCTCTTGTCCAGTTGGCTATCCCTTTCACCCTGGCATTTCATCAAGCAGAGAAAAAAAAAAAATCACAACACTGAAAAGTAAGAGAAGCCCCTTATGGGTCTTTTGACTCTTAAGTTTATTTAGACGCAATTGGAATCTCACAGGGAGTACCTGATAAATTCAAAGCCCAAGACCAAATAGCTGCAGGATTTGAATCATTGCCTCCATGGGTAAGTATCAACAAAAATGTAGATTGGATAGATTACATCTATTATAATCAGCAGCGATTTATTAATTACACCAGAGATGCTGTCAAAGGAATAGCTGACCAATTAGGTCCTACTAGCAAGAATGGCTTGGAAAAACAGAATGGCCCTAGACATGATATTAGCTGAAAAAGGTGGAGTTTGTATTATAATGAAAACTCAATATTGTACCTTCATCCCAAACAATACTGCCCCCAATGAGAGCATAGTGAAGGTCTTGCAAGGGATTACAGCTTTATCCAATGAATTAACTAGAATCAACAACTCTTTTTCAAGATGGCTAAAAAGGTGGTTCAATAAATGAAAAGAAATCGTGGCCTCAATTCTTACTTTGCTTGCAGTTGTAATACTTGTACTCATTCTTATTGGGTGCTGTGTCATACCATGCATTGTAGGTTAGTGCAAACGCTTATAAAAACAGCACTTACTAAAATCTCCCTTAGCTCTCCTCCACCTTATGCAAGTAAGCTTTTCCTTTTAAAGGATCAAGTCGGACAGCAAAGCCCAGACATGTTAAAAAGGTTTAAAGAGAAAAGATTATAAAAATTAAAAGCAGGGAACTGTAAGATATAATGAATTTCTCTTCAAAGGTTCAGCCTGTTAACTTCCTTGTTCTTTGTTCTCAAACTCAACTTTCTTGTCCTCCATGCCTCCTTGCCTCTAGTTACTGTAAACAACCTTCCCATCAGCTCTAATCAATAACTCACATCTGTTCCCTTGGTTACCCACTCTGCACCCATTCCACCTTTTTGAAACCACACGTCCACCCTTCGAAACCACACATCCCACCACTGTAACTCACCTTCCCCTTCCCTCTTCCTTATTTAAAAAAAAAAATTCACAAGTAGCCAATCAAGTCAGCTTAAATTGTGCGGTTCAACCCCAGCCCACAGGGGAGTGACACTGAGGTAGGGACTACACATCAGAAATAAAAACCCCTTCTCTCCTTTGTTCCCTGTGCTCTCGCCATTGCTCCATCCACGAGACACGCCCTTCTGCAAAAATAAACTGCCTTGCTAAGAAAACTTTTGCCTGAGTGCTGGTTTCACTTTGCAGCACCAAGCATTTACTTCCAACATGTCTACACAAAAAAGTGAACACAAATGTTTACAGTAGTTTTACTCATATTTGCCCAAAAGTAGAGGCAACCAAGATGTCTTTCAATAGGTAAGCAGCTAAAAAAATTGTGGTATATCCATACAATGAGGTATTATTCAGGGACAAAAAGAAATTAGGTATCCAGCCAGAAAAAGACATAAAGGAATGTTAAATATATTGCTAAGTGAAAGAACCACGTCTAAAAAGGCTACATACTGTATGATTCCAACTATAGGACATTCTGAAAAAGACAAAACTATAGAGATAGTAAAAAGTTCAGTGGTGGCCAGGGGATGGGAGGAGGTGGATGGGAGGAGGGGATGGGAGGAGGGGGATGAGAAGGTGGCTAAATAGGTGGATGTTGGGATTCTGGAGGCAGTAAAACTATTCTGCATGACACTGTAATCGTGGATACATGACATTATGCATTTGTCAATACCCACAGAACTATACAATAAAAAGTGTGGGCCCTAATGGAAATTATAAAAGGTAAATTATATACTTCAGTTAATAATTTAGTATCAATATTAGTTCATCAATTGTAACAAATGTACCACAGCATTGCAAGATGTTAGTAACCGGGAAAAATGTACCACACCAATGCAAGATGTTAATAACAGGGGAAATGGGGAAATATGGGTGGGGGTAAGGGATTATATAGGCTCACTCTACTTTCTGTTCACTTATTATGTAAACCTAAAACTGCTTTAAAGAACAGTCTCTTTTCTTAAAAAGTAAGAAAGAAAAAGGCATGACAGCACAATGGTTCTAAGCCACTAGAGTATGTATCACTTGGAAAGTTTATTCATTATTAAAATTTTAATTTAATTTTATTTATTTATTTATTTTGAGACAGCGTCTCACTCTGTCTGCCCAGGCTGGAGTGCAGGGGTACAATCTTGGCTCACTGCAACCTCTGCCTCCTAGGTTCAAGCAACTCTTACGTCTCAGCCACCCATGTAGCTAGGACTACAGGCATGCGCCACCATGCCCAGCTAATTTTTTTGTATATTTAGTAGAGACAGGGTTTCACCTTGTTGGCCAGGCCGTTCTCGAACTCCTAACCTCAAGTGATCTGCCCGCCTCGGCCTCCCAAAGTGCTGGGATTATGGGTGTGAGCCACCGCTCCCAGCCTAAACTTTTAATTTTAGACTAGACCATCACATTACTTCTTTGCACTCCAGTTTCCTCAAATGTAAAATGAGAGAGCTAAATTTGACAGACAGGAACATGAATCAGAATACTAGAGTCACTTTCAGCTCAAAATTTATTTTCTTTTCTACATGAACCTAAGTTTGAACTAAAACAAATTCTAAAGCACAGACTCCTTTATTTATCTTAAACCTTTTCACGATAGGCAAACAGAATTTTCATTATTTTCAATGTAAGGTGATAACCAAACTGTCTTATAAGTAAATTAATGATAAGTAATGTATTTCCTATCACAATTTTCTCTCCACAAGATCAAGAGCATTTAGTCTTTTGCAACTGTTTGAAGTATTCAAAAAGATCATCAAGAGTGTAAGTTAAGAATCTGAGATAACTATAAGGAATCAGATACTCTCAAGAAGGCAATCCAGATAGATAGGCTACCAGTATCTCTCACTGGTAGCAACTTTCTCATATTCCCTAACATTCACGTAACCAAAGACGAACACACACTAAACCCAATGCCAGGAGAAGTCAATTTCCTTGTCTTAAAAGTAGTGTAAGTCTCACACTAAATATCAAAAGCCTCATCCTAGAAAACTAAGATTTATGATCTATCCTCAAGCAACTAGTACATAAAATAGCATCTGTGTGCTATAGAATATGGTACATAACAAATAAGTGTTTTCCAATTAATTTATTCAACAAATAGTTGTGTAACATTTACTATATGTCAAGCACTATGCTGAGCAATGGAACAGAATGATGAGCAAAACCAAGTTTAAACTCCATTAGGGAAGACAAACTAATATATGTCAAGTGGTAATAAATACAATATTTTAAAAACAAAGCAACATAACTGGTAGGGTATTTGTTGACTGGGAAAGGACACATGAAAGCCTTCTGGAATAATGATGAAGATGTTCTGTACTTAACTTGATCTGGGTGTTGTATTCACTGAGCAGTACACTTAGGCTTTATGCAATCTGCTGTATATGTTCTACCTCCAAGTGTTTTTTAAGCCTGTTAAAAGCAACACCTAGAATATCAATGCTGTCCAGCTCTAATGATGATTTCCTCTTGATTACCACAATTGTTAATACACTTCCAAATATATGAACTACGTATCTTCACAGTTCTTCACAGAACTATGTAAATACAATTACAATGTCTAGAACCGTTAAAGCCAATCATTTAGTAAGCATCAACTGGCTACAGATAAGGTAAAAGAAAACCAAACTCTTACCTCAACTTATAGGAAAAGATAAAAACAGAATGATGCTAAAAAGGAGTCCTACAACTACTCATAATAAATATAGAATGTGATATAAGTGCCTTTTAAAAATAAACCTACCTTTAACCATTTAGTATTTCCTCATTTCCTCCTCTGTTCCAAAACTCCAGAGTTTCTCTTAGAGGGGAACAAAAGGAATGCAAGAACTGTGCATTCAAATTGTTCCAAGACTCATACAAAGTCTAGCATAGTCACTAAGAGCATAAACTCTGGAGCCAGACAGCCTGGGTTAAATACTGGCTCTGCCACTTACTAACTGTATTACTTTAGCCAAGTTTATTTATTTCAGTTCCCTGTGCCTCAGGCTCCTCATCTGTTAAGCAGGGATAATAGAATCTTATCTCATTGGGTTGTTATGAAGACTAAATGAGTTAATTTATGTACTGTGCTTAGAACAGTAGTTGGCACATAAAAAATGCACTAGATAGGTGTTTATTACTGCTGCTACTGCTGCTACTAGGAGTCCTACCAGAATTGGCACCTAGGTACCACAAACAGGCAAATTAATCCAGTTAAGAAAAGGTATGGATCCTAACAGCTAATGTCATTGGTAACACTCCATTTCTGCTCCCATTTATACCCAGAATAACAGTACTTTTAGTATGACTCTGCCCTATGTTAATACATCAACTTAGCACATTCCATCTAAATTGTCACTTATATTTGCACTACATAAAACAGATCATATGATGCCTAACCAATGACACAAAACATTCAATGAAAGTCAATCAAATTCCCAAGTACAGAAAAGGGAAAAAATCCCTATACATGTCAAGGGAAAAGTTAGTAGCTAAGGCAAATCTAGTTCCTTTTTAATGGGTTTTGCTAGACAGTCTCAATTTGATGAATGTCCAACCCTCCAAAATGAATCTGTCTCTTCACTTTATCTACATGACAATTCAAATCAACAATTTAATCAGTATCTGTACCTACTATGAATCTAGCATGTCCCTAGATACAATCAGAGAATGTAAAAATTGTATGAGACATAATCCTTGCTCTGACTGACTAGTTAGGAAGAGTCTAACACAAAAGCAATCCATTTATTCAGTCAACAGACACTTCTTGAGGGAATATTCAGTGAATGTGGCTCCAGGCCTGGCCTGGGTGGTTTTAAAATTTACAAAGGAAATACGGTCAAATGGATAAAAGCTGCACAATGTTAAATACAACAAAAGCGGTAGAGGGTATGAAGGAAGCAAGAAAAAGAAAAATCTGGAATGTCAGAAGACTTCCTGGGAAGGTAGCATCTGTATTAGATGTTGAGAGACAGGTAAGTTGACGAGAAAGAGAAGAGAGAACATTTAAGGCAGAGGTAAAAGCATATACTAGAGACAAATCCACATGCCTTCTGAACAGAAGACAAACCCAGAAAGGTAGCCAAAGATCTTACACCATGATAAAGGACTTAAGCTTTATTCTGTAACAAATGAGTAGTAAATAAAAGATTCATATGGGGGGATATATGATCAGACTTCTGAATGTTTACCTGGGGTAGGACAGAAGAATAGACAAGGCTGGAGACAGAAAATAAGTAACAGCCCAAGGGTAGGCAAACCTTTTCTGTAAAAGGCCCGACAGTAAACATTTCGGGCTTTGCAAGCCATACAGTCTCGGTCACAACTACAAAATTCTGCCTTCGTAGCATAAAAATAGCAATAGACAATTAATACATAAACTAATGAGCAAGGCAGCTGCTTTAATCCATTTTGTAGTGCTATGACAGAATACATGAGACTGGGTAATTTATAAAGAAAAGGTTTATTCACCTCACAGTTCTACAGGCTAGGAAATTTAAAGGGCATGGCCCTGGCTTCTGGTGAGGACTTTCATGCTACATCACAAAATGACAAAGAAGCTCAAAGGGGAAGTGGTCAGATGTGAAGACAAAAAATCTGGCGGCATCCTGGCTTTATAACAATCCATTATCTCAGAATTAACCCATTCCCATGAGAACTAATCTAGTACCACCAGAGCAAGAACTCACTCACTGCTACAAAAAGGTACAAAGCCATTCATGAGGGATCCACCCCCCATGAAACAAAACATCTCCCACCAGGCCTCATCTCTTAACACTGCCACATTGATGATCGAAACAAGTTTTAATGCTGAAAAACAAACCATATCTAAACCACAGAAGTTGCATTCTAATAAAACTTGATTTACAAAGACAGACGGCTAGCCGTATTTGGCTTTATGGGCTATAGTTTGCAAACCTCTGGTCTAGGCAGAGTGATAAGGTCCTAAACTAAAGTGAAGGCTCTAGTAAATGAAGAGGAATAGGTTCCAAAGATATTTAGGGGGTAGACTTGAAGAATGACTACTGGTGGAGAACTAGGTGTAAGGAGGAAACAACTTTGGTTCCTGGGAAGGAAGCCAGGGGCGTCTATGGATAATGGTGCCATTTACCAAGATAGAGAGGAAGAAGAAGAATATAGAGGTTTCATTCTGTTTAGGGGAGGAGAGAAGGTCAGGAGAGAAAATGAGTTCAGTTTTAACATGTTCAGTTTAAAGTAGCTGTGGAACATGTAGGTGGTAATTCCTGCAGGTCTAGGATTCTGAAAAGATCTGGGTTAGAGGACTAGATCTGGTCAAAGCAGTAGAATTAATATCTAGTTTTTCATAAACCAGATCACTAGGGTAGAAGGAAGGTAGGCAGAGTATGAACAAATGGCTGAGGTCAAAATATAAACACTTAAACGGGGTAGGTGGCTGGAGAGGTAGAGAAGTGCTCTGCAGGCAAGACTGAGGAAACAATCTGAGAGGCAGAAAAGCAGTTTGAGTGAAGTGTTATGGGTCACTGTAGCTAAATTAAACTACAGGATACAATCATTTTGAGAAGAAATCAGTGGGCCAAACACCAGGTCTAGTAGGGTCTAGGACACTCCAGATGCTGTCTATCAATTTCTTTTTTTTTTTTTTTAATGATGGAGAAAAAAATCAGTGGGCAAGCAAGAGAACAGGACGTTGGGACATAAAACTGAATAGGCTGGTTTACAAAAAAACAGATATTGAAAGAAAGTCAGAAAATTTTAATCAGATGAAAATAGGCAACAGGACAGTTTTCTTAACTAGAATGGGACATAGCTCAACTATTTAATTAGGTAACATAATCTGTACTATGTAGGGAAGCTGTAACACTGAAGGAAATAAAGATAAAATAGCTGTTAAAGATATAGCACAGCCACTCAGTAGACTGGATTTACTTTATCATGAATAAAGGTTTTTTAAAAGTACACAATTAATTATAAAAAGCACTATACTGGGTCAGGCGCGGTGGCTCACGCCTGCAATCCCAGCAATTTGGAAGGCTGAGGCGGGTGTATCACCTGAGGTCAGGACTTTGAGACCAGCCTGGCCAACATGGCAAAACCCCATCTCTACGAAAAATACAAAAATTAGCCAGGTGTGGTGGTGGGCATCTGTAATCCCAGCTACTCAGGAGGCTGAGGCACGAGAATCACTTGAACCCAAGAGGCGGAGGTCACAGTGAGCAGAGATCATGCCACTGCACTCCAGCCCGGGCGACAGAGTGAGACTCTATCTCAAAAAAAAAAAAAAAAGATATGAGTAATTTGGTATGACTGCAGATATGAAGAGACTTGCAAATAGGAAGTATTTTGAAAAAAGCAATGAAACCTTTAATAATTTGTTAAATCATTCCTGAATTTAACAACAAGGTCTTTTTACTAAACCAGCTATCAACAAAAGTAAAAACTGTTTTTGTGGCATTTAAAACCAGTGAAAATTCCTGTGTGGGTTTAGCAGCATTAAACTTTAAACACCATTAACACATCCTGAGAAATTCACAGAAGGAAAGAGTTCACTATTTTTAAACATACTAAATGTGCCTCTTCTTTATAAACGGGATCTGTGGGTGTTAGAGAAGTTCAATAAAGAGGGCTACCCCAGAAAACAGGATTTTCCATCCATTGATGTTTTACTATATAAAAAAGGTGCAAATTTTCAACAGGGCTCTAAAATGTTTAAAAGAATAGTACAATTTATTTGACAGAAGGAAGAAAATGACTAAATTGATGGTTGTCAAATGTCTTAGATAATTTCATTCTCTGTCTTTTAAGAGCACAAGTCTCATAAAAAGGTGAAAATAGGCTTTCTCAGACCAGGCACAAACCCTAACTTCCTGCCCTCCAAGTACTGCCATGGGTTAAATTACAGGTTACCGAGTAGTTCTGATACTAAGGCTGAAAGATTCATGAGCCTCACCAGGTTATGTTAATTTCCTGTCCTAAAATAGCTAGTCCACAGTAACCCCCAACGCACCCCAAGTAAAATATCCCATATGGTAATTCTAGGTTATTTTTTACCTCTCATTTTTAAACACATTAACCTTCCCTAAACCACTGTTAACAATCCATGGACCTACCTCAGAAAAATAAATCTACTTGTTTACATATGCTGCAAATTCTCATTACACTCTCAGACACATAAAATTTGCAATATGACTCTAGTTGACTCTATTCCCTTTTCAAATATAGTAACATCTTTCTAATCAAGAAGACTTCCAAAAACATCAAGCTTAGAAAATCAAAATCCTGGAGGCAGGGAGAAAATAATTATTAACAGCTGTTTACTGAGTAAGTACCTAGTTTGTACCAAGCTATGTTTTTCATGCATTACATCATTTAACCTCAATAGCCGTGTGAGATAGGTACTATTATTATCACCAACTTAAAGATGAAGAAAGCTCTTAGGTAAGTCATTTGTTCAAGGTCAGAGTTCGTAAGTGTTAGAGCTGGGATTCTAAAGCAGTCTAACTACAGAGCTCTACTATAGAGCTCTACATTCTAAGTAAAACAGCAGTAGAAAACTATAGGCCGGGCATGGTGCTCATGCCTGTAATCTCAGCACTTTGGGAGGCCGAGGTGGGTGGATCACCTGAGGTCAGGAGTTCGAGACCAGCCTGGCCAACATGGTGAAACCTCTTCTCTACTAAAAATACAAAAATTAGCCGGGTGTGTTGGCGGGAGCCTGTAATCCCAGCTACTCGGGAGGCTGAGGCAGAAGAATCACTCAAATCTGGGAGGCGGAAGTTGTGGTGAGCCCAGATCGCGCCACTACACTCCAGCCTGGGCGACAGAGTGAGACACTGGCTCAAAAGAAAAAGAAAACTACATCTATCACAGAGTACACTTTACAGATGTAATCCCCAGACCTTCCTTACAATCTAATGATTAAAATCAGTAATTTCATTCAAAGAACAATTCTAACAATTTGGTAATGTGGATTTCCCATTCACAGTTACTTAGCACATTTGTAGTAATAGGGACTACTATTGCTAGGACCAACCACATCAATGAGTTAGTGGGCAAAACACATGTGCACCCACAAGGAAAAGATAAAACTGGCTATTAAAAAGCTACTATATAATTACATTAAACGGCCCCTGAATGGTTTGGCTGTGTCCCACCCAAATCTCATTTTGAATTGTAGCTGCCAAAATTCCTACGTGTTGTGGGAGGGACCCACATTGTATCATGGGGCACATCTTTCCCATACTGTTCTTATGATAGTGAATAAGTCTTATGAGATCTGATGGTTTTATAAGGGGGAGTTTCCCTGCACAAGCTCTCTCTTTGCCTGCTGCCATCCATGTAAGCCGTGACTTGCTCCTCCTTGCTATCCACCATGATTGCGAGGCCTTCCAGTCACGTGGAACTGTGAGTCCATTAAACCTCTTTCCTGTATGAAGTATCCAGTCTCGCGTATGTCTTTATCAGCAGCATGAAAATGAACTAATACAGCCCTGAACTGTTGTATTTTAGAACAGGGCTGTTGCTATTAATATATTCTTTGATACCGGCAGTACAATAACTGATATTCATGGTAGCTGAAATATCATAAAGGTATCAAAAAAGATATTCAGCATTATCTAAAAAATACCTTAGAACAATTTTTACAAAAAGAGCAAACAAGAAGCATAAAAAACATTTCTCTAGAAAGTTCAAGATGATGGTATTTTATCCTTAGTTCAATCTCTCATTCCCTCCTCTCTCTCCTTCCCTAGAACATTAACACTTTCAAATCCCTGCTTGCTCACTTTTAACCTGTACTCCACCAGCTTCATAGGCAAACTTTTCAAACGGTAGTCAATACTCACTGTCTTCCACTTCCTCACCTCTATATCCTCCACTTCTCCAGCTTCTACACCCAACTTCCCAGTTTAGTTGCTTTTTCCAAAGTCATCAATGCCTTCTTATTCCTAAATCTAATAAACACTTTTCAGATTTTATTTGTCCTTTAGGCAGGATTTAACATTTCAGATCCCTCTCTCCCCTAACCTTTTTTCTTTAAACTGGTCACTTGCCTTCAACACAACCTGACCCTTTTTTCTTTTTTATGTTTTGCTTAATTTATTTCCCTCTGCCTGTCCCTCAATTATCAGAGGGTCTCTGACCATCTTCTCTTCTCCTACTAAAAATTCTCAAAGGATGATCTTAAGCATTTCCTTCACCTACTTATGCTACACTGCTCATCAGCTCATACAAGTCTCCTGATAGCTCTCCAAATGGCTTCCACAAATCTCCACCCTAGGCCCCTCAAACTAACATGCCCACAATTGAACTCATCTTGGAAAACAATAACACAGTGTCTTTGAAAGTGTAGCACATGTAATGAGTTTTGTTTTGTTGGAAGTAGGGCTTATTCCACATTTTGATAAACACTGGTATCCATCTGGTCTTCCCAGACAAATATCTGGGTGTCTTTCTTGACTCCTCCTTTCTCTCTCCTTTGGACTCAGACACCTAAAGAAATCATCAACTACTAAAGGAAGATTGTACAACCTTAATCTTTTCAAATCAATTCCCTTTCCTTCATTCCTCCCTCACTTCTTAACGATATCTTGCCTAGGCCCTCCCATAATATTCTTAATTGTTTGTGGCTATAATAATACTTATCACAGAACATGTGTATTTCTCTACCAACCTGCAAAGTTAGAAAAAAAAATGTGTCTTGTTCTTTTTATCTAACTGTATTTTGGAACACAGCTGTCAATAAAAGTCTAGTGAGTAAAGGGTCCCAAGAAGCTAAGCAACACATCAAAAAGAATATAATTTATTAACAATGGTGCAGGAATGTATGTATACTCAACTAGCATTTTTTCAATATTGAAATAACCTCCATAACCTGTGATATACTCCATCACAGTACAGCAATAATAGTATATCAATATCACTTTTCATATTCAAAGCGACAAAATATTCTTTTTTGGTTTATGTTTCTATGTACATTTTAAATTACTTTCTAAATCAGGGAGGAAACAATATTTAGAGCAAAATGCCACAATCAGTATGAATGAAAAATCTTTAAGATTTTAGGGCAATTTGTTGTAAAACTGGGAGTTAGAGTGAGGAGGGGAGAACACATCAAGAAAATAAGGGAATATACCAAAATAGAGATACAACATTAAGGAAAGACTGCAAAGACTACTGTTTTCAATGAACAGTGAGCTTCTCAGTAACAACTGGGAAAAAGCAGATATGTCTACTGTTTCATCCTAGTCAGTCAATTATTTACATGAAAATGGATCTTTCAACAAAGAATATTAGCCAATTGGAGAGGGTAGGCAGGAGAGGGGAGAAATTAGAAAATTTCCACTAGAATTTATTCGGAATTTAAATTCAGCCATAAAAACACAAAAGGAAAATATATAAGTGATTATTTACATCAGTGGTTCTCAAACTGTAGTCTTGGGATCTTTGAACCCATTCAGAAGCCCACAAAGCCAAAACCATTTTCATAATAACATCATTTGCCTTTTTAATTCTCATTCTCTCCTGATTATACAATCAACTTTTCCAGAGGGTACACATCATGTGATACTGCAACAGATTAAATGCAGAGGCATATACAGAATCCAGGTATCTTCTATTAAGCAACAGACTGGCAAAAATGAAAAATTTCTTGGTAATTTTTATTCTGGAAAATGTAATTTTCATTAAAAATGTTAACATGTAAATGGCTTACTATATCTTAATAAAGTAGTATTTTTTAAATGTCTCTTTTAATTTCTAAGATGGCAAAGATCTACAGATGTCTTTGAGGTTCTCAACAGTTTCGTTTTTTGAGATGGAGTAAACAAAAGTCTTTGAGGTTCTCAATAGTTTTGTTTTTTGAGACACAGTCTCGATCTGTTGTCCAGGCTGGAGATGCACTAGTACGATCTTGGCTGACTGCAACCTCCACCTTCCAGGTTCAAGTGATTCTCCTGCCTCAGCCTCCCACGTAGCTGGGATTACAGGCGTGCACCACCACACCCAGCTAATTTTTGTATTTTTCGTAGAGACGGGGTTTCACCATGTTGGCCAGGCTGGTCTCGAACTCCTGACCTCAAGTGATTGCCCCACCTTGGCCTCCCAAAGTGCTGGTATACAGACATGAGCCACTGTGCCTGACCAGAGGTTCTCAATAGTTTTTAAGAGTACTAAGGAGTCCTGAGAGCAAGAAGTTTAAACACTGCCAATTTATAGTTTGAGGAAGAGCAAGTTTCTCTGAGCATGACCCCAAAGCCAGAAGAGTGACAGATACCCCCAAAATGGGAATGAGGACATGAAACACTAATGGGAAAACAGCATAATACACAAGGGGCCAATATACAGGTAGAAAAATAACCTTCAGAAGCTGGGCACAGTGGCTCATGCCTATAATCCCAGCACTTTGGGAGGCCGAGGCAGGCGGGTCACTGGAGGCCAGTAGCTCAAGACCAGCCTGGCCATAATGGCAAAACCTTGTCTCTACTAAAAAAATACAAAAATTAGCAATGCGTGGTGGCTCATGCCTGTGGTCCCAGCTACTCAGGAGGCTGAGGCATGAGAATCGCTTGAACCCAGGAGGCAGAGGTTGCGGTGAGCCAAGATCGTGCCACTGCACTCCCGCCTGGGCAACAGAGCAAGATTCTGTCTCAAAAAAGAAAAAAGAAAAAGAAAAAGAACCTTCGAACTTACTAGTAATCAAAGCAATGTAAAAATTAAAAGTGGTTAAATCAACAATTTTTTTTAAATTATAATATCTCATTTAATAAGAATTTAGAAAAACAGGTCGCCAGATAAATTCTAGGATTACATGTAAATCCTAGTAACGTGACTAGGAACTTCTAGAAGGCAATTCAGCAAAATGGGTCAAAAATCTTTAAAGTATACATACTCTTCAACCAACCAACTCTATCCTAATCAGATAAGAACATAGGTAAAGTTCTGCTACGAAAATATTCACCTATGCATTTCATTAACTGCAAAAAGTAAAACTGGAAATAATTAAATGTCTAGCAAGAAGAGGATACTGAATATATTACAGCATTCCATTGTATATATTAGTTATCATCTGATAATTTTAAATGTTTTGATTCCTGTGGAAAGATAGATATATATTAAAAGTTCAAAATAAGCAGTTACAATTTTTGTTGACTCATTTTAGTAAAAGATAATATAGCTATGTGCAAAGAACTAGGATGTGCCTAGAAATTTTAGGTATGTTCCAAGCATTTTACATGCCTTGTCACATTTAATCTTCAAAACCCTATGACATAGGCTGACATCTCTAAACCTCAGTTCTCTCATTTGCAAAACCGGAATAAGTAACTTACCCCAAAACCATGAAAACACCAATCATTAACCCATTAAATAGTGGAGCCCAGATTTGACTCCAGCTCTCAGAGAGTCAGAAGCCCAAACTGTATTATGTTAAATACCACCTGTACATCAAAGGATTAAAAGGGATCAATCAAAATCTCTCTCTCCCTATCCCAGCTATATTTTCTTCTTTCTCTTTATTCTTTTCCACCAATCTTGTATTGCTTGCTACAACAAAAATATTTTATTTATTTAGTAAGGAAAAAGGTACTTTTAAATACTCTGGTTAAAAAGCCAAAGATTCAATTTGGGGGGAACAGTTACAGTACAGTATTCAAAGTCAATACATCTTGTTATTTAACATTATCTACAGACAAAGAAAAAAACTATAATAACTTCCTTTGAGAAGCATCACAAAAAGCTAATGTACTTTTTTATACTGATAATATATTTTATTTAACTACTATGTAAAAATATAATATAAATCATACCATTTCAGTAATCAATGTAAAACTTATTAATGAATTTTTCCCCTCCAAACTAAGTATTCAAAATCTGTTGTGTATTTTATTCGTACAGCCAGTCTCAATTTGGACTAGCCAACTTTCAGGGGCTCAACAGCCACATGTCACTAGCGGTAATTAGTTGCTAATTTTGGATGGTGGAGTTATAGAGTCTCCTGAGAGTAAATATACAGAAATTCTTACATCTCAAGATGCAGTAATCTTTAGCATGTCTTGCTGTTAATGTACTTTAGTATCAAAAAAAAAAACCTGGTTTGAAATCCACAACTTATAAAGCTGTAAACTTTAAACAAATTACTTAACTTCTCTAAACTCAATTTTCTTATTTGTAAAATACAGGTAATAATGCTTCTCCCTCAGGATTATTATGAGGACTGTGTCAAAAGAATAATGTGGCTAGGCATGGTGGCTCATGCCTGTAATCCCAGCACTTTGGGAGGCCAAGGTGGGCAGATTACCTGAGCTCAGGAGTTCAAGACCAGACTGGGCAACATGGCAAAACCCTGTCTCTACTAAAAATACAAAAATTAGCCGGGCATGGCAGCATGCGCCTGTAGTCCCAGCTACTCCAGAGGCTGAGGCAGGAGGATTGCTTGAACCCAGGAAGCACACGTTGCAGTGAGTCAAGATCACGCCATTGCACTCCAGCCTGAGTGGCAGAGCAAGACTCTGTCTCAAAAAAAAAAAAAAAAAGAATGCATGTCAAGAGTGTAAGATATAATACTCAATAAATGCTAATTCCTTAAAAAAGACATACATACATACATACTGACTCAATAGCAAATTGATATTAAATTATGTTCTGATTAAACATATTCTCAGTAATTAATGGCTCATATTCACTTTTAATTTAAATTAAATCAAAACCAAAAATACTCAATAAAATAAATTCCCCTGCCTTTTGGGAAACCCCAAACCTCAAAAAGCAGCACTCTGGAACAAACATTTATATCTTCTTCTCTTCGTTACTGCCCTATTTGACTTTTGTATCTTCAGGAGTCTAGCAGAATGCCTAGCATATAGTCGGTCTCAAGTGCTGGATGAATAAAAGTGGAAGCCTTGGAACACCTAACACACACTGTCTCTAATAATGAATCTCATTATCACTCAAGTCTAAAAGCCTTCACACAAAGCTGTGGTGCTAATTAACATTCAACAACAGTTTTGATTCCAAAAAAGCAATCCTACAGCAAGTTTCATCCAATTCACTTTTTTACAACTTCCGAATTCCAAAGGAATATACTTACAAACACAAAGTCCCTGGAGGTGAATCTTAGTGAGAAAGCAAGAGAGCTCTGAAATCTTAGTTCAACTTCCTCACCCAAAAGGCTATGCCAGTTAGGCCAGAATCTCACAGCAAGCTAGGTTTCCCCCAACCCCACTCACTTTATTAGCTTCTTTTGACATTCATTTAGCAATACTTAATAAGCACCTACCATGTATCAGGGAACAAAGTTCTGAAATTCCAACCTGCCTATAAATTTAACTCTATTACTGGAGCTACAATGAACTAGCCATACTACAAAACAGCTATAGAACCCTAACCTTCTTCTGTAAACACTTAGAATAAATTTCACTTTCATCAACCAAATAGAACATCTAATCATTCCACAAATACTGAGTGCCCACTATTCATTTATTCAAAAAAAATTTTACTGAAATCTTGTTATATGCCAGGCATTACCCTGAACTCTGGGAATACACAATGAACTACACAGGCATTACCCTGAACTCTGGGAATACACAATGAACCACACAAAAACAAAACTCCTTGCATCAATGGTGCTTATATCTTAAAATCGGAAAGAGGGAGGGGAGAAGAATAGACACAGATAAACAAAATCTATTATACATTACAAGGTGATAAGTGTTAGAAGGAAAAAATATAGCACAGAAGGGAAATGGAAAGTGCAGGGTCAAGGACAACAGCTGCCGATTTTTTTAAAAAGGTGTAAAAGAAGGCCTAAGAAAAACATTTTAACAAGGTCTTAAAGACGATACTACATTAAACTAACACAGGTATTAGACCTAGACAGACCAGATACATTAGCAGCAATCTGGGAACAAATTTCTTCAATTCTTGAAAAGGGTAGGAGCAAGACAGAAAGTCTTGGCCAGGTACAGTGGCTCACCCCTGTAATCTCAGCACTTAGGGAGCCGAGGCGGGAGAATCACTGGAGCCCAGGAGGTCAAGAACAACTTGGGCAACATAGGGAGACCCCGTCTCTACAAAAATAAAAAAATTAGCCAGGCATGGTGGCACACACTGGTGGTCTCAGCTACTTGGAAGGCTGAGGTGGAAGGATTGCTTGGGCCTGGGAGATAAAGAATGCAGTGATCCCTGATCACGCCACTTCACTCCAGCCTGGGTGACAGAGCGAGACCCTGCTTCAAAAAAACAAAAAAGAGAAAATCTTGGGACAGAAAGACTCAGATGATTTGAAAGAAATCAATTCTTAGGAAGGTTAAACAATAAATATGAGTTACTAAGTTTCAACTGGGAAAAAGAAAATACCTGATTGCAACACCATGAAAATGTAGCAAGTCAGTCAGTCAATCTGTCCACCTATTTATTTATTTGTTTATTTATGGTAATGCTTCATTGCCAGCAACCACAAATAAACATTTAAAAGATTTTGTCACTTTTCTGTTGTCAGGCTTCAAACTTTAGATGCTTAACCTTAACTTTCTACTCTTTCCATTTCTGTCATCAAAAAAACACCATCAAATTGGCAGAAATCAAAGGCTGTACAAGGACATTTCAATTCCTATTTTGTGTGCTGACCAAGCGTTGCTTAGAATTCCATTAGTAACACTTTAAATCTCTATTTTAAAGATGCGTGAGGAATTTACTGTTTATAGGCATCCAGAAATAAATTATTTTATAAAATCAGAGGACATTTTAAAAAATAACTTAGGTTTCTTGTTAGATAATACATGTTTACTGTAGAAAAATTCGAAAATAAAGATAGCAAAATCTATTTGAATAACGGGATTATAATTTACTAAATATTCTAGAGCATATTCTCACAAATTCTCTAGATTTTGTTGCAGTCAATTTCTGAAAATACACTGCACATACTCCTTTGCAATGTGCTATTTTCACTATTATCAATTTATTTCAATGTAAAATGTTCTACATCATCATCATTTGTAATCTTACTGTGTGAATACCACAGGAGTGTTAAGAAGATTAAATAAATGTAATGTCTGGCACAAAAGAAACACTGTTTAGACACTATTATTGTTATTAGTTCCAGGATTAAAATTTTCATAAACAGTCAGGTATATCTAAGTTTGTGGGCATACCCTTAATTTATTTTACTTAAAAGTCCTAGAAGCAGAATTTCTGAAACTCTTCCAAACTGTCCTCCAGAAAGAATATATGAATTTATTTATTTATTTATTTATTTATTTTTACAGAGTTTCACTCTTGTTGCCCAGGCTGGAGTGCAATGGTGCAATCTCGGCTCACCGCAACCTCGGGGTCCTGAGTTCAAGCAACTGTCCTGCCTCAGCCTCCCCAGTAGCTGGCATTACAGGCATGTGCTACCACGCGCAGCTAATTTTGTACTTTTAGTAGAGACGGGGTTTCTCCATGTTGGTCACGGTGGTCTCGAACTCCCCACCTCAGGTGATCTGCCCGCCTTGGCCTCCCAAAGTGTTGGGATTACAGGCATAAGCCACCATTTCCGGCCATATATGAATTTATTATCCTTTAGCAACATACCTCCTGAAACCCTTGTCAGCAACTAAGTATTGCATTTCTAATTTTTAACAATTTGGGGAACACAGAGTATAATTTTATCTTATTTTATTTTTGTTTCTTTAACTATACTAAACACTCTTTTACATGTTGACTGTTTGTATTCCTCTTCATGTGAATTCATTGCCAAAAATATTTTAAAGTGAACTACTCCAATATTCATAGTCAGAATAATCACATATTAGACTTGTTTAAAGTATGTTACATGTACCACCTTTCATTACATGTTTGCTTCAAAAATATACAGCAAGTTATACACTCTCACTCCATCCTAACTCTGAACTTAGTATCTCCCACTAATATTTAAAGATAAAACACTAATACCAAAGTCTAAGGGGAAAAAAAGGAGTTCAAATTAAGTCTTAAAATTGCCTAATTATGTAATCCATAGTATCACCATTAATACACTCATTTAAAAGAACAGATACTTAAGAATTGACATGAAAACCTATCTATGATATACTGACAAGTGAAAAAAGAACTCAGAACAGTTTGAATGGCGTGATCCAGTTATAATTTATATAGTAAAACGTAAAACAAATACAGAGAATGGGAAGAATGAGGAGGTAGTCGCTGTCCTAGGTGCTAGGGACCCAGTGATGAACAAGATCAGAAGGCTTTTCCCCTACTTTTATGGAACTTACATTCAACTCTGCTGGTAGGCATCTCAACTGTATCTGGATTTACTTTTAGTATTAAACCATAATTGATTACAACAATAAAAGTTTTCTCAATTTCTTTCGAAACATAAGTTTGAGCCTACAGAGAAAGTAAAGAGGAATATATACCCTACTTTCTGGACTTTAGAGCAGATTACAATACTGTAAGATTTAGGAAGCATACAAACATGCAAAAAATATGTATGTAGTATCAATGACACAGAAAAAAAGGCCCAAAATCATTTTGTAAAATCTTATTTATATTCAGGACTCTTTTCTCATTAGCCAAACTTAAAAGGTTAACTAATAATGCTATGTTTAAAAAATTAAGTTGCAGAATATTCATGATATGATCCCAATTTTTTTAAAAAAGCATTCACAGTGTATAAATGCTGCACATGCCTTTAATAAAAAGTCTTGAACTAACCAGTAGTAACTTCTGGAGATATGAATAGAGGAAAAGTGGGCAGATGGGAATCAGAGAACATTTTAAACTTTTTATTATGTGCACTTCTATACTGTTTTGAGTATCCGTGGTAAAATATCTTTATGATAAAAATGAAAACAAAATATTTTAAAGTTTAAGTGCCACAAGAAGAACCAAGTATCTGGTCCCATCAAACTTTCCCTATTTAATACCCTAATGTCCATCAATATGGAACTGTTTACATACAAAAATCAGTGCTGGCCGGGTGCAGTGGCTCACACCTGTAATCCCAGCACTTTGGGAAGCCAAGGTGGGCGGATCACCTGAGGTCAGGAGGTAGAGACCAGCCTGGCCAACATGGTGAAACCCTGTCTCTACTAAAAATACAAAAAATTAGCAGGATGCGGTGGCAGGCACCTGTAATACCAGCTACTTGGGAGGCTGAGGCAGGAGAATCGCTTGAACCCAGGAGGCAGAGGTTGCAGTGAGCCGAGATCGTGCCATTACACTGCAGCCTGGGTGACAGAGCGAGACTCTGTCTCAAAAAAAAAAAAAAAAAAAATCGCAGCACTTTGGGAGGCCAAGGTGGGCAGATCACTTGATCCCAGCCTGGTCAACGTGGCGAAACCCCACCTCTACCAAAAATACAAAAATTAGCTGGCATGGTGGTGCACATCTGTAATCACAGCTACTTAGGAGGCTGAGGCATGAGAATCACTTGAACCCAGGAGACAGAGGTCACAGTGAGCCGATATTGTGCCACTGCACTCCAGCCTGGGCAACAGAGTGAGACTCTGTCTCAAAAAAAATTAAATAAATAATTAATTAATGAAAAAGCAATTTAACTGTACCTCCCTAGTATTTATACTAATTGCAAAGAATTATTAAATTGTTTTTCAACAACCATTTTTCACAATAACTTCAAAAATACTAATATATATGTATAAATATAAATAATAAAGCAATTCATTATTCTCAAAATTTCCAGCATAAGAGAAAAAAAGTATAAAGCTAAGAAAGAGAGAAAACCTTATAACCCTAAACCCTTAATCTTGAAACAAAATCGGATTTGGAAGTATTGATATGAATCACAGTGTGTTTTCCCATTTAAAAAAATTCCAAAATTTAGCAAAGTTGCAGAATATAAGATCAACACACAAAAATCAGAATTTTTATACACTAACAATAAACAATCTGAAAAGGATACTAATAAGCAATTCAAGTTATAGCAGTATCCAAAAAGAAAAATAAAAAAAACTAGGAATAAACTTAACTGAAGATTTACAAAACTTGAAAACTACAAAACATTGCTAAAGAAAATTAAAGAAAACCTAAACAAATGAAAAGAAATCCTGTGTTCATGGATAGGAAGACATAATACTGTCAAGATGTCAATATCCAAATTGATCTACAAATTCAACTCAATCCCTACCAAAATCCCAAAGGCCTTTTCTGCAGAAATGAAAAAGGCAATCCTAAAATATATATGAAATTGTAAGGGACCCTGAATACCTAAAGCAATCTTGAAAAAGAACGAAGTTGGAGGACTTACTGATTTCAAAATTTGTGACAAAGCTACAGTAATCAAGACAGTGTAGTACTGGCATAAAGACAAACATACAGATCAAGGGAATAAGAACTGTGCATCCAAAAATAAACCCATGTATCTATGGTCAACTGATGAGTAATAAGAGTGCCAACACCACACAATGCGGAAAAAAATAAGCTCTTCAACAAATGGAGTTTGTACAACTAGACCCTTACCTTACTCCATATACTAAAATTAACTCAAAATGGATCAGAGACCTAAATATATGAAATAAGACTACAAACCCCTTAGAAGAAAACATATGGGTAAATCATAACCTTAGATTTGACAATGCTCTTTTTAGATATGATGCCAAAAGCATAAGCAAGAAGAGAAAAAAACAGGAACATTCAACTTCATCTAAATTTAAAACTTTTGTGCATCAAAGGGCACTAAAAAGAGAATGAAAAGAAAACCCACAGAATGGAGAAGTTATAATATCTGACAAAGGTGAAGTATCAAGAATATATAAAGAACACTTAAAACTCAACAACAAAAAGACTATCCAGTTTTTAAAAGACAAAGAACTTACATAAACATTTCTCCAAAGAAAATACACAAACCACCAACAATGGTGGTTTGCACCTAAAAAGATGCTCTACATCGATAGTCATTAAGGAAATGCAAATCAAAACCACCATGAAATACCAGTTCATACCCACCAGGATAGCAATAATCAAAAAATAGAAATAAGGCTTGAAGAAGATGCGGAGAAATGGGAACCCTACTACACTGCTGGAGGAAATGTGAAATGGTGCAGCCATTATGGAAAACAGTTTGGCAGTCCAGTAAATTAAACATAGAAACACCATATGACCCTGCAATTTCATTATTAGGTACAGACCTAAAAGAAATGACAGGTGTTCAAACAAAAACTTGTACACAAATGTTCACAGCAACACTATTCACAATAGCCAAAAGCCATAAAAAATGAAAATGTCCATCAACTGAATAAACAAAATGTAATATATGCATACAATGGAATATTATTCAGCCATAAACAGGAACGAAGTACTGATACATGCTAAAACAGGGATAAACCTTGAAAACATTATTCTAAGTGGAAAAAAGCCAAACACAAAAGGTCACATAAAGTATGATTCCATTTATATCAAATGTCCAGAATAAGCAAATCCACAGAGTTGGAAAGCAAATTAATGCCAGGTCTGGGGCAAGGGGGAAATGGGGAGTGACTCCTTAATGAATATAGGGTTTCCTTGCAGGGTAGGGAAAAGCTCTGGAACTAATTGGTAATAGATGCACAACGTGGTGAAGGTACTTAATGCTAATGATTGTACACTTTAAAATCGTTCAAGTAGTCAATACAACGCTATATGTATTTTCACACAATTTTTTAAAAAATCACACAGACATACAACCACACCCTAGCTCTGTCCACTAAAAGATCCTAAAAACAACCACCAACCCAGAGCAACAAACACTCAAACTGTGCTCTCTAAATACTACTCCCCACTAAAAGGAATCAGAACCCCTTAGAGTAATGACTGGTTCTAGATATCTAAGACAGTTGATGTACAAGATGAGCCTGGAACATCTTGTCATACTAGAAAACAGGATTACCAAAGACTACTGAGGTTATATGGAAAGATAAAAAGAGCCAACATGACGGGGCTCACATTGGCAAAAATGGAACAATTTGACAATTAAAGAGAATAGATTAAAACATCAAATATACTCAAAACTGGGGGTTCATATAAATACGTACTTAAAAAGAAGAAAACACCTCACTGTTTCTGTCAAATGCTAAAGAATCAAGACTTACCCTGCTTTTTCTTAGGATAATAATAAAATTGAGGTAAAGTTCTTCTTTATAGAAAAATTCCAGCTACAAATACAAAATGAATGACAGAATATGACCATTGGCTATCTCTAAAGAAATAATGATCTAGATTGGGGTCAGCACACTTTCCATAAAGGGCCAGATAGTAAATATTTTAGGCTTTGCAGGACACACAGTCTGTCTTAACTACTTAACTCTGCCACTGTATGTGAAAATCAGCTACAGATAATACATAAAGGAACAAGTGTGGCTACATCCTAATAAAACTTTATTTACAAAATAAGCAGTGGATCGTATTTGGCCTATAAGCTGTAGTTTGCAGAAACCTTGATCTAGACCAGCGGTGTCTATTCTTTTGGGTTCCTTGGGCGACACTGGAAGAAGTATTATCTTGGGCCACACAAATACATGAATACTAACGATAGCTGATGAAGAAAAAAAAATTGTAAAAAATCTCATAATGTTTTAAGAAAGTTTACAAATTTGTGTTGGGCCACAATCAAAGCTGTCCTGGGCCACATGTGGCCCGGGAATTAGACAAGCTTTTCTAGACAATGATCATAAATGACTGTTAAAGAGATTAGGTGAAAGACTGATGGGGAACTTTATAATACATAAAGGATCTCTTCAAAAGAATAGACGCAGTAATCAACTGTAACATCAAAAAAAAAAAAAAAAGAGAGGTAACTAGGCATCACATGACACCTGATGTTATGCAATAGGAAATACAAATGCTCCCTGACATAAAATGGAGTACGCCCACTAAATCCACTGTAAACTGGAAATATTGTAAGTTGAAAATGCACTTAATACACCTAACCTACCAAACATCACAGCTTAGCCTAGCCTACCTTAAACATGATCCAACACTTAATTTAGCCTATAGTTGGGCAAAATCACCTAACACAAAGCCCTGACATAAAACTTTATAACAAAGTTATTATAAAGAATTTTGCATCAAAATTCAAAGTACAGCTTCTACTGAATGCATATCACTTTTGCAGTATCATAAAATCAAAAAATCATAAGTTGAACCATCATGAATTCGGGATCACCTGTATTCAGTACCATGCAATAAAGTAATCTGACTAAAAAGTCTAACCAACTATTTGCAGAACATACAAGAAATAAAGGAGCTTGTTAAATAACCACAGGGATGCAATCAGCAAAACCTTGAATGTGGGAAATTCCAAAGAACAAATGATCTGATTTCCTCAATAAATAAATGGCAAGGAAGAGCTAAACAAAAAATATTACCAATTGAAAGGAGAGTTAAAAATAGCAACCAAATGCTACGGACCTTGTTTTGAATCTTTAGTAAAAAAACAAACCATGTTTTTAAGGGAAAAAAAGATACAATCACAGAAATGTGAATACTGACTGGATCTGATGTTACAGAATTCTTTAATTTTTAAAAGGCGGAATCATGGTGCTGTATTTGTATTTCTTTGTCTTATGCATCCTTCTCTTTTAGAAACAAATAGTATTTTCCAAAAACATCATATGATGTCTGAAATTTGCTTTAAAAATATTTGGGGCCAGGCGCGGTGGCTCATGCCTGTAATCTCAGCACTTTGGGAGGCGGAGGTGGGTGGATCACAAGGTCAGGTGTTCGAGACCAGCCTGATCAACATGGTGAAACTTCATCTCTACTAAAAATACAAAAATTAGCCAGACATGGTGGCACGCGCCTGTAATACCAGCTACTCAGGAGGCTGAGGCAGGAGAATACCTTGAACCTGGGAGGCGGAGGTTGCAGTGAGCTGAGATCGCGCCACTGCACTCCAGCCTGGGCAACAGAGTGAGACTCCGTCTCAAAAAAAAAAAAAAAAAAAAATTTGGGACGCCAGGAGCGGTGGCTCATGCCTGTATTCCCAGCACTCTGGGAGGTCAAAGAGGGCAGATCACTTGAGGTCAGGAGTTCAAGACCCGCCTGGGCAACATGGTGAAACCCCGTCCCTACTAAAAATCCAAAAATTAACCAGTATGTTGGCGCACACCTGTAATCCCAGCTACTCGGGAGGCTGAGGCAGAAGAATCACTTGAATCCGGGAGGCGGAGGTTGCAGTGAGCTGAGATCACGCCACTGCACTCCAGCCTGGGTGACAGAGTGAGGCCCTGTCTCAAAAAATAAATAAATAAATAAATAATAATAATAATAAATTGGGGGTTAGTAGTAACGGTATAGAAAAAGTATGATTGACCATGTAATTATAGAAATTGATGATGGATATACAGTGGTTTATTAAACTAGTCTATCTAGTATTATATAATTGAAAACTTCTTAATAATTTAAAAGTGACATAAAAATAAAAACCCCAAAATGGAAAAAAGTATTCACTATCTGTTTGGGAGTACCAGGTTCCCTAAAAAGTTTAATAAAAATTACTCCATTCTGCTGAAATCCAAATTCAGAACCCACAGACACCTAAGGGTAACAAGAAAGGAAGGAAAGGGAAAGGAAAACAAGTGGTGGAAAAGAAAAAAGAAGAAACCTGTCATTCATTCTTCCCTTCCCTTGCCCTGGGTAATGACAAAGTAGTGAGGGGCTGTCTGCTGCTCCTCTAAAAATGTCCTGACAGGGACGAAGAGTATTTTACTTTATGAGAAAAGGTTTCCCATGAAAATCACTCTAC